>NC_000021.9:10324327-10487738 GCF_000001405.40 Homo sapiens | reverse complement strand
AAAGAAATAAAATTTGTTGTTAAAAACTGTCCCACAGGCTGGGCACTGGTGGCTCATCCAGTAATCCCAGCACTTTGGGAGACGGATCACCTGAAGTCAGGAGTTCAAGACCAGCCTGGCCAACATGGCAAAACCCCATCTCTACCCAAAACACAAAAATTAGCGAGGCATGTTGGTGCATGCCAGTAATCCCAGCTACTCAGAAGGCTGAGGCAGGAGAATTGCTTGAACCTGGGAGGTGGAGGCTGTAGTGAGCAGAGATCACGCCACTGCACTCCAGCCTGGGCATGGTGGCTCATGCCTGTAATCCCAACACTTTAGGAGGCCAAGGCAGGTGGATCACCTGAGGTCAGGAGTTCGAGACCAGCCTGGCCAACATGGTGAAAAACTGTCTCTACTAAAAATACAAAAAAAGAAATTATCTAGGCATGGTGGCAGGAACCTGTAATCCCAGCTACCCAGGGGGCTGAGGCAGGGGAATCACTTGAGCCTGGGAGGCAGTGGTTGCATGAGCTGAGATTGTGCCATTGCACTCCAGCCTAGGCAACAAGAGCGAAACTCCATCTCAAAAGAAAGAAAGAAAAAAAAAAGAAAACACAACAAAAACCCCCCACAAAGAAAATTTCAGGCCAAGATGGTTTCACTAATAAATTCATGTATAATATAAGAAGATACATTTCCACTACTACACAACTTTTCCAGAAAACTGAAGAGGAGAATATACTTTCTGATTCATTCTATGAAGCTGGAGTTATGCTGATACCAAAACCAGACGAAGACATTACAAGAATGTAAGACTACAGGCTGGGGCATGGTGACTGATGCCTGTAATCCCAGCATTTTGGGAAGCCAAGGTGGGAAAATTGCTTGAGCTCAGAAGTTCGAGACCAGCCTGGACAACATAGTGAGATGCTGTCTCTATTAAAAATTTTAAAAAAGTAGTTGGGTGTGGTGGCACACACTTATGGTCCCAGCTACTCGGGAGACGGAGGTGGGAGGTCAAAGCTGGAGTTAGCTATGATCGCACCACTGCACTCCAGCCACGAATTAGAACGAGAACCTGTCTCAGAAAAAAAAAAAAAGAAGAAAAAAAAGTGCACAGGTCTACAGCCGTGGTGCATCCACAGTTTTATTAATACACAGCAAGAAAAGGGAGTACACGGTTAACAAATACAACAGCATAGATGAATCTCCAAATAATTGTGCTGAAATAAATCAGTCCAAAAAGCATACAGTTCTGTATGATTCCACTTATATACAACTCTAGAAAATGCAAACTAATCTTGGGGACAAGGACGGATGGCAGGGGGAATGCAGAAAATTACAGAGGGACATGAAGAAACGTTGGGAGATGAATATATTCACTGTCATGATTGTGGTATCATTTTCAAGGGTGTATATATATATATATATATATATATCAAAGCTGATGGAATTGTACATGTCAAGTCAAATATAGCTTATATCAACTATACCTCAATAAGCCTGGTTTTAAAATTTTTCTTTTTGAAAAAAGGACGAGAATCTAAGTTTCCTTATTCCTGGTTTAGTGGTAAACTTGAACAATTTCACTGTCTCCTATACTTAAAATGACATTTCAGAATTTTAAAAACAGGATTTTAATAAAATAGCAAAGTTATTACATAAAATATTTGCTAGTAGTTAGCAAATGTATTTGTAATACACATACAAATAAAGCTTCATAACATGATAGCAAATATCTATCAATCTTAAAATTTTTTAAATAAAAGAGCAACTATATTACATAATGACTTTTTAGAGAGGGTTGGCATAGAAAGATAAGGAGTCAAAGAGGAAGGTAAGAAAAGAGAAAGGATGAGAAAGTAAATATACAAGAAAATGTAACCAGAGGCTCAAAAAAAAGTAGGACAGTAAAATAAACATTTTGACCTATTTATATGACTCATCAAAATAACTTGCTATGAGATTTTCATCATTAACTGACATTTAGATTAGAGAAAATATACATGAAGCAAGCCTCACCCCAGGCAATACAACAGCTCCGATTCCACTTTTCAGCTTTGACCTGCCTCGGCCACCTCGCCCCGACAGTCCTGCACCTCGAGGTCTCCGCTTTCTTGGAAATCCAGACCCATGGCCCTATGTAACAGATTAGGAAAAGTCAACATTCTGTGACAGCCCAAAATAATTTTTAAATCCAAATGCCACTGAGATAAAACATTTTATTAAATGTTATACAAACACTTCTTTAGATAAGTATTAAAAGACCTGGCTTATTATTTTTATCTTTAAAAGTATACTCCACAACTTAAAAATCTAAATATAAAATGCTTACAACCTTAGAATCATACTTTAGGCCTGTCACTGTGAACGCTATCAGCAAGACTTTGCATGATTTTTCTCTTTCCCACTCCTACATTCTCGGTGACGACAACAACTGTAGCCTGATCCAGATATTTCGAAGTGCAACAAATTGTATTCAATATAGAGTAAGGATAAGGAAAAACTCTCTCATTAACTGGTCTCACGGTGATTACAGTAATAGCTAACATCTATTGAGTACTTACTATGTACTAATCTAAGTATTTTTTACTCTCATCCATCCCATATAGTAGGTTTTATTATCCTCATTTGAGATGAGTGTGCTGAGGAATAAAATGGTTAAGTAACTTGTCCAAGGTCACTTAGCTAGCAAGCCTGGCTCCAGCGTCCCTGGGTTGGAAGCATATTCTGTACTGCTACATCAGCATGAAAGTTCATTTTTGCTAGTGTGTGACAGTATTCTTCCTGTCATTAGAATTAAGTCAGTTTCCTTCACTATTCAACAGTTCTCTTATGAACTCAACATTTCTACCTCATTCACCGTTGTATTTAGAGGAAAATTTATTATTATTGTTATTACTTTTATTTTTGAGACAAGAACTTGATCTGTCTCTCAGGTTGGACTGCAGTGGTGTGATCACAGCTCACTGCAGCCTAGAACTCTTGGGCTCAAGTGATCCTCCTGCTTCTGCCTCCCAAAGTGCCAGGATTACGGGAGTAAGCCAAAGCATCCAGCCAGGAAAAATTATTTGAGGATTACAGGAAAGCTGACAAAAGGCTTTGTGAAAGCTTTGCTTTAAATAATCTGAATAATAAATACTTGAAATGGAAATAATTTATCTGACTTCTTACACAAGAAATAAACCTATGGGAAAATGTGTTAAATTCCCTGATAATTTCAGACATTAAGTACCAGAGTATGGTGTTCCCTGCCCCCTCACCCTTGTTTGTACTAATTAATTACTCCTTGAAAAAACCTGGCACCTACCTAAGTAGTTGAATTATGTATATTTAAAATTATCCAGATGCTCAGGAAAATACTTAGGTGTTTCCCTCACCATAAGTTAAATAATATGTCATATCTTCAACTGATGTCCCTTATCATAGTTTGAAATGAACTTATTCCCTATTTAGCAGAATGGTTTCCAAGTCAAAAATTTATGGTGATACTGTAAACATAAAATAGATACACATGAACAAAAGGAATGGGAGGAATGGCTTTTCTCCCTTTGGATGTAATAAATACAGCCAGCTCCCAGTTTCAAACTGCCACTCCTGTCTTCTCTTACCCTGCTCTCCTTGAGATCCCTTTAGAGAAGTGCATCAGGTTCTTTGCACAACGGACGGATGGGGTCAGGTTAGTTTTTTGGGTTTTTTGTTTGTTTTTGAGACAGAGTCTCGCTTCTTTGCGCAGGCTGGAGTGCGATGGTGCGATCTTGGCTCACTGCAACCTCCGTCTCCTGGGTTCAAACAATTCTCCTGCCTCAGCTTCCCTAGCAGCTGGGATTACAGGCACATGACACCACGCGTGGCTAAATTTCTTTGTATTTTTAGTAGAGACGGGGTTTCACCATGTTGGCCAGGTTGGCCTCGAACTCCTGACCTCAAGTGATCTGCCCCCTCAGCCTCTCAAAGTGCTGGGATTACAGGCATGAGCCACTGCGCCCAGCCGAGTTTGTTTTGTTATTAAATTGGTATAAAAGATTTTTGAAAAATTAAGTCAGTGATTAAAAATCAAGACTACAGTAGTCTCTCAATTTATCTTCTCCAACATGAAATGCTGACCCAGAAAAAAATTAAGTAAAAACTGGTGGTCTATATTATCAAACTGTCAAATGAGGCATATTTATACTTCAATATCTTGGATGATATCAGGGGGAGGTAGGGAGGTTAAAAAAATAGTTCTTCCAGTCATGAAAGAAAATAAAGTATAATCTAGAATTCCTTAAAATCGTTCATGAGTCTAAATTAAACAGCCATATTCCAGAATATTAAATATAGAATATGAAGAAGAACTGTCATCTCCGGTCAATGAAGTATTTTAACTTTTGAGTTAATACTTTTTCAAAGTAATTTTTTTTCTCTTCAAAATGCATCACACTACTTAACTCACTTCAAGGACTGGCAGAGCCATCAACCAATGTCATGGGGGAAAAAGCCTTGTCATTTTAAGGTATTAAACAGACAATGAAATCTGCCACAATTTTGGTATTTCTTGTCCATGAGAACATAATAAATTAATGGAGTTTTTTCTTTTGCTTTTTTCTAAGCAACAAAGTTTTATGTATCATGAATGAAAAGATCCTTAATTACATTTTGGTCTACATGTCAAGGACTTCTCCCTCATAAAACCAGTAGTAATCACAACAAAAGGAATTAACCATAAAAAGAGGTATTAAAAATGTATACTTGATTTTTAAATGCAAGCATATTATTTCTTTACATTAAAATTTTTAGATTTAAAAAGTGTTTCTGGAAGCTCAATCTAGAAAAGAAAGATTTAATTCTTAACATCCAGTAGGGCAAAACAAATCAGACAGAAGTGATATATGAATGTAAATGTAATTTTATGTACCACTTTGATGCTCCAAATGGCACTGCCAGGAAGCTGCCTGGGTTTAAAAATTTCCCGACCTCCTGAAATGTCTGGGGACCACGAGGGTGGGCTCACTGTATTATGGGTACTCCAAGCCTCCTAAGATATGGCAGTTGAGAAAATAGATGTGTAAAACTCAGCAACATAAAAGGTCAAAGCCAGCAACTAAGGAATTTTAGGACAGCAAAAACAAATGCAAACGTATGGAAATTTAGGACAAATTGCTTCAAGGAAGGCAAAATAAGCTAATCACTAACAGTGATTTAAACATTTAACTATAACAAATAACTTAAATGTTTGCTGCTACAGAGACATCACTACAATGAAACATTAAAAATTAAGGTTTATGTGACATCAACATTGACTCATGAACTGCAATTACTGCACCAAAAAGTAAATAAAAGTCAATCACACTTTAAGAATTAACACTAGAAGAAAGTATTGGGGGGTTATTTTTCTTCTAACAACTATCACTCTACTTAAAAGGAGAAATGGATAACCATAAGGAATTCTATATTCTATAGCTATAAACAACCAAAACCAGTAGGCCAAAGAATGCAATGAGAAACATAAGCAATCGATAAATGCATAAACTTTAAACTGTAGAGAGCTGGTAACATTAAAATGCAAATACCATTATAATCTTAGCATTTAATCACTCTTTCTTCAGTGACCATTAGTTGTCGGTTTGGTTTTGGTTTTTATTTAGGGAAATGAATACTCTATGGAAATTACATCCAATGGACAAAAGTGAAGAAACGTTAAAGCAAATTGTCCTAAATTTGCAAATTAAAATGCCTAAAGTGCCTGATAAATTATATAGAAAGTAGTATCTTATTAAAATCTATATAACTGAAACTAAAGCATTTTACTTCTGAACAACCACATTCAGCAATACCCTGAACTAATCTGAAGATGTTAAACAGCATAAAGAAAAATGTTTACTCCACAAAGATAACATTTTAAAGAAAAACAAGACAAATGTCAAACAATAAAAGAATATATTTTGAATTAGGTAATTCAATGGTGCATGCATAATTTTACCAATCAAGTAACCAAAACTTAAGGTACATAGTACTTACCAGGTTTCTAGAATATCATCAAATTAACAAGTACTATCTCATTAATCACATAAAAATACCACCAGGAATTAAAATAACCAGAAATAAGAATGTGACTACTCTTGGGGTAAGAGATAGGTAATGGAATAACAGTATTTTGAGAAAAGCCACACAAGCAATAGCCTGGTTTCATTTTTAAGTCACTAACTCAACCCACACACATTGAAGTCCAGCAATCCAATTCATTCTCTCCAGCAAACACTTAATTTTTTCCCTTCCAGGATTACCCTCAGGTGTTCTTTCTTACCCATCAAATCTCTAACCTAGCTCAGGTAATCACTATGCTGATTTCACTGAGCAGCAACCACTGCAGGTCAGTTACCTCACTTTCATAATTTCCAATCAACTTGAATCTGTACCTATGTCTTCTTCCCTACTATTAGTAGGGAGGTGTTGTCAAAAGCCATTTCTCTTTTCTCATTTTACTCATGCTCCTGACATCTGGCATACGGTTCTGCTGGATTTGGCAGCAGTCCACCTGTGGATATTTCACTGCCTTCCTCGCTAATCTTTCTTCATCTCCTGTACGTGTTCTTCCTCTATTTGGCTTCCAAAGCCCTGGAGTTTCCCAGGGCTTGAGCCTAGATCCTAAATGGTGTTATCTACAATGAGGGCATCTTGGAAGTTGATGCTTCCCACATTCTTATTTCTGGCTTTAATCAAAGATCTCCAAATTAGCAGGATTTTCAACTTCCTTCTTAGCATTTCCATTTTCTCACACAAAACCCTTCTTAAGTTTGCCATGTTTAAAATTTCTCCCTTAACCGGTTTCATCCCAGTCTTCCCCATCCTTATAAATGGCATCCAGTCCCTTGTCACTCTCCTCTGCTCCTTCAGGCCTCTCCCCCAACACTTCATCAATGCAAATCATCAGCAAATTCAAGACTTTTTATCTTCAAGTTTTGTCTCCAATCCTTCTACTTCTTGTCACTTCCACCACTAGTAGCACACTCGTGGCCACCACCATCTCTCACCTAACCTGCTACAAGAGTCTACTGCTGGTTATGCTTCTCCCACCCTGCATCTACTCAAACCTTTCCCCACAGCAGCCAGAGGAACTTTTCAAAAGTACAAATGTGATCAAGCAAGTCACTATTCTATTTCAAACCTTCAATTGCTTCTCAGAGCACTTAAAATACAAACCTTTCCCAGTGCTTTTCTCCAACTTATCTTGTGGCACTTGTCTCCCTGCTGCTATGCTCCAGCTATTCTGGCTTCCTTGCTGTCCTTCAAACATGCCAAGCTCTGTATCAATCAGAGCCCAGCTGACTCAGAACACTTCACTATACCATTCTGGCCCTTCAATAAATGTCTGGCATTTTCTTTCTTTCTTTATTTTTTGAGATGGAGTCTCACTCTGTCACCCAGGCTAGAGTGTGGTGGTGTGATCTCGGCTCACTGCAACCTCTACCTCCCAGGTTCAAGCAATTCTCCTTCCTCAAGCCTCCTGAGTAGCTGGGATTACAGGCATGCACCACCAGGCCCGGCTAATTTTTGTATTTTAGGAGCAATAACATGTTGGTCAGGCTGGTCTCAAACACCTGACCTTGTGATCCACCAGGCTTGGCATCCCAAAGTGCTGGGATTACAGATGTGATCCACCACGGCCAGCCATGTCTGGCGTTTTCTAACCCTTCAGGTATGGCCTTACATATTTTCTCATCAGGAGACCTTTCCTTAGTGCTCCCAGTGAACCATCATCTCTCTTACCACACCATTAGTGCCTCTCATTGCATCACCACCTAGGACGTTTTATTGTTTGTAATTTTATTTAGTGGTAGGCAGTGGGGCAAGAGATACCTAAATTACTTCTCTCAATATTTCCATTGGTTTTTCTCTGAGATTTGGCTAACATACATCTTAAATTCTTTTTAGTCAATAGTTTAATATTATGTTGGCAGTAGACAGTTCTAAAAAATATGAGACAGAAAGTCATACTCTAAGATAAAAATAATGTTGAATAATTTTATTTCAGAAATAAGAATTTTCTGGTAATTATGTATTATTCATCATAATTTAAAAGTTAGCTTTGATGCCAAAATTTTATCTCACTTTGAAAAGACAGACTTTGTGTAATTTTATAGTTCTGAAGAAAAATTATCATTATACTTAGATATTCTGACAAATTATCTAGTATATTCCTTAGACCTTAAAACTAAAATATAGCTATAATTATCAAAGTTTAAATTATCCTTCAGATCTTAGCTTTGATCAAGAATTTACACAAACCATTCAGAAAAGGTTACCTGCCCCTGTAATGTATGGGCTCTTCTCCTACAATCCAGTTGCAGCACTTTTTACACTGTAATTAAAGATATGCCCCTTTCTGTCCACTGCTACGTTAAGCACCCTGTTCAGCACTTACTGAACTTTTTTTCTGCTGAGCATCTATTATCTTTTTTTGCATGTGTGTATGAATTCATCAATAAACAATGAGCTATGATATGAAACACACTAATGCCTCCACCAGTAATAACCTAGAATCTTGAATTTCTTCACTTAAAAAAAAGTTACTAAAAATTACTAAAAAATCTATATAATGCCTCCTTAATCTACAAACTGAATTAAAAGCAAAATAGTTCCTAATGTAATCATTATTAAGTTGTAAATAGAATCAACTTGCTATCAAATACTACAGAAACTAAAAAAACACTACCTGGCAGGGACTGAATTTGAACCTAAGAAAAATAATTTAACCCAAAAATAGTTTAATATTAGCATTAAGTTTCTTTCTGCTTTGAGGCCAATTTCTCAGGTAAACTGTCCAAGCTAGTAAATTATACAAGGACTGTGGGATGGGGAAATGAGAACAATAATGACAAGTGGAGGATAGGCTATTTAGAAGCAACTTTCTATTAAAAGTCAAATTCTATTGCTGATTGTTAAATACGATCAAAGTCATTCTTACAGCCCAAGAGTACTATCAGTTTTAAAAGCAGCCATAGAAGGTTTGGTGTCTCAAAGGCAAACTTTACGCCTCCAAATCTTAAATCAACCCCGGCCCCACACTCTTCCAACATACTATGTAAAACCAAGGTTGCTTATAAACAGTAAGTCTAATTTGCGAAAAGTGAAAGCAATGAAGACAGAGGGCAGAAAGGAAGATAACTGGTAAAAGAAACAAAAGAGTTTACAGTTTGTCTTTTTGGTAAATACAATCACTTGTATACACTGGAGTTACAGCAGCCAACACTTCACTCTTTAGGGAATTATTAAAAGAAGTCTCATATATAAAATTGAGTTCAATATCAAGTAGAACAAGAAATTAGACCCAATCCTGTTTTGATAACTACAGGAACAGTTATTATCAGCTTTAGCCTTCAATAATTTCACAATACAAATTAGGTAGTGCTAGCAACAGTAATGTCTCCAAAAATACCACAACAAGCACAAGTGAACTAAAAGCAAAGTCTGGTACTTCTAATCTGCTGTGTTGTTAGCTTGGTGTTCCAAAGGGGTAGGTATTTTTTAGGTTTAACACTATGGTTCTCTGGCTACTTTTAAAACTGAAAGTACTCTTCTTATAATATAAAGTAAACTTCTAATAATTTGTCCAAGAGATATCAAAATACAGTACCTATGTTTCCATTTATGAAATTTTCTTGAAATATTTACTGCAGGCTGGGCGTGGTGGCTCACCCCTGTAATCCCAGCACTTAGGGAGGACAAGGCGGGTGGATCACCTGAGGTCAGGATTTCAAGACCAGCCTAACCAATATGGCGAAACACCATCTCTACTAAAAATATAAAAAAAATTAGCCAGGTGTGTTGACGTGTGCCTGTAGTCCCCGCTACTCAGGAAGCTGAGACAGGAGAACTGCTTGAGCCAGGCAGGCAGAGGCTGCAGTGAGCGAGGTCGTGCCACAACTCCAGCCTGGGTGACAGAGCAAGACTCAATCTCAAAGAAATAAATAAAAATAAAATAAAGAAATATCTACTGCAAATAATACGTTTCATAAAATGCTTAATAAAAACTTTCAATACCACCATGAAAGCAATTAGAACATGAGGGTGTCTGAAGTAGATCATAGTAGTGTGATTACATTCAATATCTTTCTATAAGACGTGATGATACATACAGGGTAAATCATACAAGAAGACCTAAGATTATTATCTCAGAATTTCCTAATTAGAATGGGAATACAATTGTGCAATGAGAGAAATGGACTGAAGACAGAAATAAAAACAAATGTTATGATTTAATATGACAAATTTAAAATTTCCACTTTATTTTCCACCATTTTTAAAGAGCATTCCTTATAGTATTAATTTTAATGCATTTTTAAAAATCAGTAAGACAAGTAGCACATTTCTCTAGTTCAGGACTCCACTTTCAGGGTTACAGTTAAAGATGATCCTAGAAGTGCATTTTAATTGGTCTAGGGTAGGGTCATTAGCTTGATGTTCTAAAATCTACTGAGTTGATTACAATATGTGTCAGTGTCAATAACCACTTTCTTAAACCCAAGTTGCAAAGCACATATACCTATAGAAATGTTGAAAATGGGCCAGGCGCTGTGGGGCTCACACCTGTAATCCCAGCACTCTGGGAGACCCGAGATGGGAGGATCTCCTGAGGCCAGGACTTTGTAACCAGCCTGGTCTACACAGCAAGACCCCCATCTCTATAAAAAAATAAAAAATATTTTTAAATGCTGAAAAATGAAATACTAAATTATTTATGAATATATAACTTCAATAAAAGATGAGAAAATACAACTAGGTCATTAGGACAATTTGTATGAAACAATATCCAATTTGCTGTCTGTTACTTCTACCTTATCATGTCTAATTTTTCCTCATCTTTGTGAAATCCTGCATCTATTGTAATAGGCAAAAAAAACAAAAAACAAAAGGAATCTTATTCTATTCACAGCCATCAGAAAAATGTGTTACTATTCCTGTAGTCAGGTTCTAAATCATACATTTGAGATATATCTCAAACATGTCATAAAGAAAATAAGCATCATATTTCTAACTAAATAACACCTGAAATATTCCATATGAAAGGAAAAATACGAAAAACTAAACTTTTAATTACTAACCTCCTTAAAGGAACATAATTCTATATGATTTGATATTTCATAATGGATGTCCAATACCTGAGATATAAATTCCATTTTCTGTGTCCTAACATCTCACCTTCAGAAAATCTCCAATATTGGGTTATTTGGATTATATATTTAAAACTGAATATACTTGAAGATGTGAATGATTTGTTGCCACAACAAATGGTTTACAATTATCTGCATTAAAATGTGTTCCATGAACAACAGAAAAAGAATATTTCTACTTCAGTCCTTAAAAATTGTGAAAGCACACCCACAGTCTTAGTTTGTCGATCTTGAATTCTTTTGGTATTTTAATTTCACCAATAATTCTGGAACTGCTGTTTTTGTATTTCTCAAAATGTTTTGTCTTGCATCGTGCAATAAGGCAGCCACCATCATATGTGACCACCGAGCACTTCTAATGCAGCTAGCCAGAACTGATGTTTTAAGTATAAAGCATCTTGTTCATTTTTATACTAAATGCTGAAATATTGTTTTGAATATACCAGGTTAAATAAAATACATTAAAATTTATTTCACCTTTTTTTAAGTGTAACTACTAGAAAATTTAAAATTACACATATGGTCTGCATCATATTTCTATTAGACAGCACTGGCTCACCGTTCTACTGGTTGGCTAGCTTGTACCTCCAGATAACATCTGATAATCCAATCACTAGCTATCACAAACTAGATCTTTCAGATGTTTCCTATTAAAATGTTCGTTTAAATTTGAAGTGAATTCCTAGAAAAGCTCATATAATACTATTATAGAAAATCATTAAAATCAACTTAATAATTTGCCCACCATGAAACAGAACTTAAAGTAAATCTACATTTCTTTGGTTAGTATTTACTGTACTGGTAAAGACCAAAGAATTGGTAATGTTCAACAAAATATGAAAATGCCAGTGACTTTAACAAAAAAATAGCTGGAAACCAAAGAATCTTGCTTACATCACAATCACAGCTAGGAAAATGCAGCTTATTTTACCGCCAGTCCCCGATGTGAAGAATATGTAGAAGCAACAGTAAATAAAAAAAGCAGTATAATACAGAAATGCCTAATATCAAAGAAATTCATGTAACAGAATACTGAACTTCAGTATTTCTAATATACGTATATACACATTCCTGCTAACTGTAGAATATTTCCTGCAAGTTATGGTCCCTGTGCCTCACCAATGGAAGATCTATCTTGTACTATTCAATTCATACTCTCCCTAATAACAGCACTATATTAGCAGGTTCATCATCAAGTGAAGGCTGTTTGCTAGATAACTAAAACCAAGATTGGAAAACTAAAAAGCTGGAGGGAGGGAAAACACAGCCTACAAAATGCTTACAAGATTAGCAGAAAATGATGAAGTAGTAACAAGAGGGGCAGAAAAATAGAAAGATTATCATCGGATTTGGGAATTCAAAGGCAGCTCAGCAAAATACTAGGACATGGCTCATATAAGATGGAATAAGCCTGGAAATACACCCCCCTCCCCAATATTTCAGAACATAAAGTCTACAGAAAGAGAGTCCTAATGTATTGAACCTGGTTTCTCAACTGAAACAAAAGTCTCCAAGGAAGGAGAGATACGTAAAATTTAACAGGAATACATATGAAGCAGTATCTTTAAAGAATGTAAATATATCAACCAAAAGTAAACTTGAGATTCAAATTTCCATTGCTAAAGTCTTTTCAGAGTCAGAATGACATAATTATTATATAACTATTCAAAACAAAACAAAAAATACTTACTGGAAAAAAGAACAACTGGTTTGAGAAGAAAATCTTTTCATGGTAGAGCAGAAATAACTGTCAAGGAAAATACTTAGAAAAAGGCATATATAAAGAGTGGCCTAGTTTTACTGCACACGTCTTTGCCATGCAGAAACAGCTAAATCCCATCTGACAACTACTTTCCCTTTCGTGTACCTTGTCTTTAGAGAATAAAATATATCTGGTTTTGATATAGAGGAGACTAATTTTCACATTAAAAATGATTTTCTTAAAAGCCTGGCCTTACAGTTTAAAAATTATACGATTAAAATCAAGATATTATTCCTATAAAAAGCCAAACTTTAATCCATTTAAATCATGAAACTTAAAACTTCACTTGAAGCAATTTCAATCATGAAACTTAAAACTCCAAATTACTATTGTGAATTAACACTTCTCCACTATTTATCTTGCAATTTTAAAAAAAACACTTCAGAAAGTAGCAAATTTGTAAAACAATAAATAATTCATACCTATAGTATCCTCATTTTGCCATGCAGTTTTACTTAAATCTCACTTAGAAATGGAACTCATTCTTAAAGGGTAGAATGCACATGATGTAAAGCAGACACAGGAAGATTTATCTTTACTTACTGAAAATCAATAGTACAATTCTAAGATTTTTTCCATGAAACTACTGAAATAAGTCCTACTTGAAAAAAGAAATCCCACAAGAGTTAGCAATTAATAAAAACACCAAAATGAGAAATTCCCCAGCATGGAAAATTCCTGTCATAAATGTTGATGTTTATCCAGTTAAAAATATATACAATAAATAATATCAATAAATATATTAGAAGGAAATAATAGATGTTAGTTACTGTATACCCAAAACTATACTGTATTTTAGGCTCTATATTTACTGCAGCACAGAACTAAAAGAATTTTTAAAGTTCTTTCTATTAGAAACTATTATCCATAGTTTGCATCTTTATGGCCCAGCTGAGTTGAAATTCCAAATAAGATCCCTTCAAATTTAATAAATGGCATTCTTCATTAACAGCATTTAAAAAATAATGGCTGAAACACATAATCAACATTACACTGAAGTTCTATCTGAAGACAGAAAAAGTTGCCATCCACACCAAAGCTACACATATACCTTCTGATTTTATAGAATTGTTCCAATATCTTTTCTGTCAATATCATTAAAATCACCCTACCTGTTTGGACCGAGGTCTACCAGGAGAAAATTTTCTCTTAGTAATAGCTGGTTTACCCATGCCAGTTTTTTGGAGTGACTGAGATGTAAGTTGTTGGCATGATGTTTCCAGCAGAGGAACTAAGAGCTGAAGGGTAATTACGCAGCATGTCATGCGAAGGCAAGTCTGAAGAAGGTGTTGGGGAGGAAGACACATCTGCCTTGCTTATGTCTGCTGATAATGAAAATGATGACTCTGTCTCAGATGATAACTTTATAGATTTGCCTCCTTGGTATGAAACATCTTTCACACAACCCTCAATTGTAGGAGTCATTTCAGAGTCCATCAATCCAGTAGAAAGTTCAGAATCTTCTTTCTGTTCCTTTTCTCCTTGTAGCCTTTCTATAACCAACTGTTCCTCAGGACATAATGAAGTGCTTTCCTCATGTGGGGACACTAAGGTTTCTAGTGGAAGAGTGACAGATTCAATGACAAATTTTGGAGGCCTTGATTCTTCTTTGGATACCACTGTTTTAGGTTCCTCTAACAACTGCAGTTGCTCTTGCTGCACAGTGATCTGGTGTGTAACGACTTCAATGTTTTCTGTCACTTCCATTTTATCTTCAATTTGATCTTCGCCACAAATATGCTTCACTTCAGAAGACATTTTCATTTCTTCACTATCAGCCTCATTAGAAATCTGTTTTTCCAATTCGGTATTCACTGTATGTTGGGATGATATTACAAAATTCAGAACATTTGTTATGGTAATGTACAAACAAATTTTAAATTTTCTAACTATAGATATATAAAACATTTGGCTACACTAGAACTTAAATCAGAAGGTATTCATCAAAGCAGACAATTATTAAGTGAATGAAAGCCAAAGTACACAAGGATTTATGGATTAGAATCAGCCATACACCAGAAAACCTAATGAAAACATGTTTTACAACACAAGTACTTCCAAATGGATTGAAAATTACACAGGAAAAGTTCTCATACTCATTTTTTAGTTAAGAAAATGAGGATCAATCATGTTATGTGAGGTACCTAAGTTAAAAAGTAAAGACTGATCTAGAATGTGTAGGCATTTTCTAATAGTAGATACCCAGATGCGACAAAGTTACTATAGACTCAAAAGCACAGACAGAAAAGATTTGCTAACCACCAATATTTATTTTGCTTAACCATACCTGCCAACCTAGCCAAAATATTCTTTGGATATAATCGTTGTTCTTCATCATTGTCTGTAAATTAAAAGACTAATCTCAGGAAATCTATAAACTTAGATATCAGAAACATAGTCACCGGTAAATTTTAAATCAGGATACCAGTATGTTAAACCTTTAACTCAATCTCATCAAGGTAATTTTTAAGTTATAGTAAAAAGACACTGCTAGCCTCATTTACCAATCAGTGACTAAAATTTATCTATTTATCTATGTTCTTTTTTTTTTTTTGAAACAGGATCTCACTCTGTGACCCAAGCTGGAGTGCAGTAGCAGAAACATGGCTCACTGCAGCCTCAACCTCCTGGGCTCAAGTGGTCCTCCCACCTCAGCCTCCCAAGCTGCTGGGACTGCAGGCATGTGTCACCATGCCCAGATACTTTTTTTGTTTTTGTAGAGATAGGGTCTCACTATATTGCCCAGGCCTATACATGTTCTGATACCAAACTGATACCAAACTGAAATCTCATCTTCTTTCCCACTTTATTGAAAGACTACAGGTAAGGATAAAAGAAAACTACCAAATAACAGATCTGATAGTACAAAATATTTTTAATCATGACATCCCCCCTCCAAAAAAAAAGCCTTTCAAGAGAAACTAACCTACTTTAGATCCATTGTCAATTCTTTTCCAGAATCTCTTAACTAAAAGATTTAGTTACTGTAATGTATATACATACAGCAATTGCAAAAATGTCTTTGGGATAAAGACATTATCTTATAACTCAGTCAAATCAGACAATATGAACATACTGCTTACCAGCAATGAGAAGACTATCTGTGTCCTCTATACCCTCAGTGTAGGGAAAGGCTTTCTGAATATGACTCAAAAATCCAGAAGCAAAAGAAGATTAATAAATCTAACTCCACAAAAAGAAACTTTTGCATGGCAAAAAAATAATAATAAAAACAAAGTCAAAAGACACATAATACAGCCTGGATAACATGGTGAGACCCTGTCTCTACAAAAGTAAAAAATTAGCTGGGCTTTGTGGTACATATAACTCCTAGCTAACTTGGGAGGCTGAGGCAGGAAGATTGCTTGAGCCCAGGTCAAGGCTACAGTGAACTATGACCATACCAATGTATTATGGCCGGGGTGACAGGGTGAGACACTGTCTCACACAAATAAGCAAAAAAAAAAAAAAAAAAAAAAAAAAAAGGACCAAATAAGCTAGCAGAAAGTATCTGCATCATGTAACACATATAAAGGCTTACATCCCTAACTTATAAAGAACTCTTAAATTTAGGGAAAAATGCCAAAATCTTCAATAACAGGCAAAACACATGAACAGACAATTCATGAGAAGAAATAAAAACTGACCCTTAAACACATGAAAAAACGATCAACTTCACTCTTAGGATAAACAAAAATTAAAACTACATTGATACACTACTTTTCACCCAGAAGACAGACAAACATTCAAAAGCTAAACAAGTCATCCTGTTAGCAAAGACGTAGGAAAAGTTCTCTCACACATCTCTGGTGGCAATGCAAAGTACCATAAGCCCCAAAAAAGGGAATTTCACAGTATCTAACAAAGCTACATATGTGTACACTCCTGAGGCAATAATCCTAGGAATTTACCCTACAGATTTGTCCCTGAGAATTCAAAAACACACATGCACAAAGCCAGGGAGTGTAAAATCATTTATAATGCAAATTATCATAAACTACTGAAATACCAAAGCACAGGCCACTGGTTGAGTAACCGATAGCACAGATACACAATGGAGTGCTATGCAGCTGTTTAAAAGGAGAATGAGATCTCTTGAACTTGCCTAACTTGCCTGGAAGTGATTTCCAGATTTTATTACATGAAAAAAGCAACATGCAAAAGAACATATACAACATGCTACCTTCACTGAAAGAGCAATATATCCTCTTATTCTTAGATGAAAAATAACAGGAGGTTTAAAACAGAAAACAATGAAGTTAGTTACTTCCAAGAGGCTGGGGGAAATGCGGTATAAGTAATAAACAAGAGACAGTGACAATTCTGAGCAAAATTTCATATAGTTTTGAGTTTTGAAAGTATACTAATACCTTCTATATTTAAAAAATTAAATCACTAAGAAAAAGGGGAATAAAATCTATTACTGAGAGCAAACTGAAGCAGACTTGCTTTTTAGATTGAGCAACTGAATAAATGTGCTGCTCTACAACCCAGAATTTTTATTGTAGAAGAACAGACATGCAAGAATGAAAAGGCAAAGAACTCAGTGGAGAAGGATAAGAACTGGAGGTGCTGGTATAAATTCATTATTTCTAAGTTATGTATATGTATATGAATATTTATGTGTATATACATAACGTGTAGGGGTGTTCAATCTTTTGGCTTTCCTGGAGCACATTGAAAGAAGAATCGTCTTGGGCCACACACAAGATACACTAACACTAATGACAGCTGATGAGCTACACACACACACACACACACACACACACACACCCCAAAAAAAAAAAAAACACCTCATAATGTTTTAAGAAATTTTATGAATTTCTGTTGGGCCACATTCAAAGCCATCCTGGACCACATGTAGCCTGCGGGCCATAGGTTGGACAAACTTCTGTAAGTGTATACACATGCATGTATTTCGTGACACCACCTGCTGAAAGGGTGAAGAAGTAAACACCCTCCAGTAGCAATGAGCACACCCAGCACCCATTCCCCACTAAAGGAATCTGGGTTACTTATTTAACAATGGACTTATTCCAGGACTCGGGCATGGGAGGTATAAGATGAGCTTGTAACATCTTGTTACACCAAAAAGTATGAAATGTTCAAAAAAGCGGTGAGGGCAGAACACCAGTGCCAGCTTGAAGGAGCAACTGACAGCAAGTATGCGACTATTTGAGCCAAAAAATAATTAGGTAATGAGTTGTAAATGATTGAAGATAATAGGAGTTCATGAGTCAATATTAATAGTAAGTAAGCTTAACATGTGAAAGAAGTGTTCTTGCTTACAAAAGAAAGCAGAGGGCTAACTGGTAAATGTGGTGGGAGTGCTAGACCTGGAAATGCATCATTTGCAACCAAAAGAAAGCATGTTAAAATGGCATCATCAGGCAGTAAGTTTGTTGTTGTTGTTGCTGTTGTTGCTGTTGTTGTTGCTGTTTTTTGAGATAGAGTCTATCTCTGTCACCCAGGCTGGAGTGTAGTAGCATGAGTCCAACTCACTGCAACCTCGCCTCCTGGGTTCAAGCGATTCTCCGGTCTCAGCATCCTGAGTAGCTGGGATTACATGGCACCCGCTACCATGCCTGTCTAATTTTTGTATTTTTAGTACAGACAGGGTTTCACCATGTTGGCCAGGCTGATCTCGAACTCCTGACCTCAACTGATCCACCCACTTCAGCCTCCCAAAGTGCTGGGATTACAGGTGTGAGCCACCACACCCGGCCTAGGGAGTAAGTTTTTCAAATCTAGAAGGAAATTCTGAGGAAAAGCAAGATATTTGCATGGTCTTAAAGTATCCTCACATACTGCTTTATTAGATACAAGGGAGGGGGGAATAGAAATTGGGCAACAGCCTGACCAGGTGATTCTCATGAGGGAAAGTGGAATAATGTGTGCTTCCAGTTGTGATACCCTGAGGATGGATCAGCATTTTGCAGTATTCTGGCCAATAATGCATGCCTCTCATCTAATTATAAGGGGTTATCAAAAACAAAATGGGGAAATTTCTGTTTGAAAAAAGAAAAAAACAAGTATATCGAGAAGAACTCTATTCTTCAAAAATACCAATGACAAAAACTAAATCCTAGAACCTACTTGGAGGAAGGGGTAGGTTATGAAGGACATCAGATCAAATGACATAACTGTAATATGGCTGGTACATTAGATAAACATATGGCATTGATGTAAGTTTAGGAAGTTGATAGCAGGATTGTGATTTTTTAAGAATATTCCTACTATTAAGAAATACATACTGAAATGGTGGTAAAAAGGCACAATGTATGTAATTAACCCTCAAATAGTAGGGGGTTGGGGGAATAGAGACACACACACAGACACACACACATACACACACACACACAGAGAAAGTGAGAGAGGGCATGCCCA
Source organism: Homo sapiens (assembly GCF_000001405.40). Lineage (NCBI taxonomy): Eukaryota > Metazoa > Chordata > Mammalia > Primates > Hominidae > Homo > Homo sapiens. The sequence continues at coordinate 10,468,454 of NC_000021.9, read as the reverse complement.
ATGATAATGAAATGCTAACAACAGATATATCTAAGTAAATGGGATATGGGTATTATTTTTATTTTTTCCAACTTTTAGAGTTTGAACTTATTTTCAAGTAAAAACTTTCTAAAAACGCATAACATACCAAAGAACAGACATTCTTGAGATAAAAGTAGGAAAAAGAAACCTATCTGACAATGACTGGTTTACAATAAAGATCCTGAAAAGATCAACCCCACTCCAGCTCACCAGGGAGCAGCCCCAAACTAGACTGACAGCCCCGCGGGGGCACACTGATTTGCCCCAACATCTCCAGCCTTCACTACAGTGATGTTCGCACACAGTAAACACTCAAATGTTAAATGCAAACAAATGAGCAAATTATGACTCAAGACTACAGAGAGAACTACAGAAGAATTCAACAGCAGAGAAAGATGATCATTCTTCAAATGGTTCAAAGGACAAACCTTTCAATCCATGAAAAACTCTATGGTAACTGTTTCTGTACTTACTTTGTGTTAGGCATTGTGCTGGGCACTTTATAGATACCACTTCATTAAATCCAACATCCCTGTGAGGTAAGTACCGTTAACCTTCTATACACTGACTTAGGGAAGTTAAACAGGTAGCCAAAGATCATCAATTTAGTAACTGAAAAAACTGCAGTTTGACTCCACAGCATAAGCTTTTAACCACCACACTATAGTGCCTTCATAGAACAGAATAAAAAGATTAAGTATCCAATAGTATTCCCAGAAATTATGTAATCCTGTCACTCTCAAAAGAGAATAGCAGATTACAAAGAGCAAATCGAAAAGAAGCACACCAAAGGGGAGACAGAACAAGCTGAGAAAGACACCCAGAATTCTCTACCAGTTCTCAAGACAATGAAAACCATAATAAAGAAGATTAAGAGCAAGAGACAAAAATTATCCAGTAGTTACTAGATATTATTAGAGAGTGTAAAGAAGGTAATTTTTAAAGTAAATATATTTTTTTAAAAAGGTGCTGGGGCGGGGGGTGGAGGCGGGGATGGGGATTCACACATCTCCCAAAGCTTTCAGGAAGAAAAAAAGGATTATGATTAAATTTTTTCAAGTTAAGATTTTTCTCGTGACAGCATAAACTGAAAAAACTGAAGAAAATGTTTTCAGAGTATAAAAAAGAAAAATTTGTAATATGAAACATTATACTGTGCCAAGTTCTTATAGCCAGCCTAAAAGGAACAGTCTCTTTCCAACATGTAGGGTTTCAAAAACTTTATAATTATTTTTAAAGGATCACAACCAAGACTCTGAAAGGTTGAGGGTAAAGTTGGAATTAACAGAGGAAATATATTTTTGCAAGAAAATTGTGACAGGGTTTACAATCTAGGTTAATCGAATCAAACAGAGAAAAGGGGAATAAAAACTTTATTTTCAGTGGGGAATGGGAGAAAATTTATATCTTTAATATTTATAATCATTTACATTCACAAAATGAGATTCTGAATTATAAATCATTGCAGGAAGTAAAAGAAGAGAAAAATAGAAAAATTTTGCCTCAAAACAGCCAAGCATTTCAATTACAACCGTCAATCCAGTTACCTCTATTAAGCTTTTCAAAAGATACATTTTTATAACACAAAAGAATCCAAAATAAGATGTGAAAAGATAACCATTCAACCGTTAAACTAACACCCTACGTGGCCATAGAGTCAGGCAAAGCAAAATACCTGCCCTTCCTGATCCCTCAACAAAAAACACATTACATAGAATAAAGAACAATTTTATACTGGTAAAAAACACAATATATTAACACTGGCCTGACCTACTTGCTAAATAACAGCCACAAGTTATTTGTTTAAAAATATGATAAATTGATAGGAACAATTAATAGTGGTCAATTGTAACTTGTTGAATCAACAAGTCAAAAAATAAGGTAAAAGGACTTCATCTAACTAAATGAAATTAATAAACACAAATGCTACACCTTTAAAAAGTCAATACTTCAAGTATCAAAACATTTATTTTAAGAAACCTACCTTAGTTAAATTCTCTGATTAAATGAAATGTAAGCATAAATTAACATACTTCAGCACAACTTAAAAAAAACAAAGTTATTCGCTAAGGTATATACATACATAAAGTTACAAATACAATAAACTTGGCTTCAGTCAAAGCTATAGCCTAAGGTAAACTTATAGTCTTAAATGTCCTTTTTCCTTAGGAAAGACAATGAATTACAAATTCAACTTCGTATTAAAAGTAAAAAGGCAAGTAGAGGAACTGAGTGAAGATAAGAGTGTAAATATACAAATCAGTCAAATAGCAGAGTTTTTCCTTTCCAATGATGTCATTCAGCAAGAGAAGGAATCTGAACTACCTGAGGAAGCAGGCCAGAGTTCATCACAATCCTTCAGCCCTCAGGTCCCACTTCCCAGGTAGCCACAGCTGAGCACAGTTACCCAGCAGCTCTTTTTCCCCCCAGGAGAGAAAGCCCCTCCCCTCAACCCCCACCACTCAGGCAGATGCCTAGTAGAACTTGCTGAAGACCACAACAGAACCTGGTAATACTGCTTGCAGTTCTAGGTGCCAAACCTCACTGGCGAGGACAGGGTGCAGGTACAGAATCTCTCTGCATCTGCTCCCACCTCCTGCCCACACCAGGGACCTGGGGTTCTGGCCACATCACCCTCCTTTCCCAGGCCCTCCACCTCCTCCCTAGAAAAAGCAGTTCCGAGAAGGGCAATGACAATGCTGTGCCTTCCACTCCTGCACACGGGCCATCACGCCCTCTCCAGCTCCAGGGAGAACCCGCTCCAGGCCCATGCAGCACCTGAGGGTCATCTCCATCCCTCAACCTCGCGACACCAGCAGCCCAGGAAGACTAAGCTTAAAAGCTAAACCGCACCTTGGATTCCAAGGGCTATCTCCACTACCCCACTGCCCCCAACCCGGCTCTGAACGCCTCCCCCTGAAGGGGCAGAAGCCAAGTGAGGTAGGAAGTTAGTTAATGAGTTCATCGGCATTTTTTATAATAGCTCAAAATTTTAAAGGACCCAAATGTTCACCAACAGGTGATTCAATACACAAATTGTGGTATCTCCAGCACTCAGTAATACAAAAGAATCACTACTGATCTGTGCAGCAATAGGGATGCATTTCAAAATAATTACACTGAGTTAAAGAAGCCAGACCAAAAACGAGTATATACTATATGAAGCTTTTATTAAAAATTCTAGGAAGTGAATACTAATCTATAGTGAAAAAGCAGACTAGGAAGACAGAGGGTTTGGGTTTGAACAGCCACAAAGCAAGCCAAGAGGCACCAGGAAACTTTGACGGTGATGACTATGTTCATTATCTTGAAGAGTGTACAGTTTACTGTATGTCAGTTATATGTCAATAAAGCTGTTTTTAAAAAGCTGATGGTAATGTATAGATTTGAATAGATATCCGATTTGTCTGTTCTCCATATAAAACATACAGAGGATTTAAAAAAGTAAACAACTTACTTTGCATTTCCAGCCGTTGGTTGGTACAGATTTCATAATTCGTTGAAGACAAAAAGTATGATACCCTTTGTCACACGTATCACACACTAGCATCTTGCTATCTTCTCCCGATTGTCTAAAAAGTAAGATAGCATTAATGATGGCTTATCTTTAAACTTATGTTTTGCAACATAAGTAATCATGAAAATCATCAGTCCTGGGAACCGCACAGTTCATAAATACCTCAGTATCTGTTTTGTCTCTGCAGATAGTAACAGAGGTAACCCTACCATAAGGATTCCCTCCTAAATGGTGATCTTTACTCAATGCTCACCTATGGTTAACTTGCTCTAGCCATTTTAGGATTCCTGCAAAGGAGGAAGGGTTAAGGCAAGATGAATAGCCTCTGATCTTTACTTTTAAAATATAATTTTTGAGAGGAAGGCGCTATAACTGCTATGTGCTACTGTGTGGAAAGATCAAATCTTGGCACAGCAAATTGAAAAGACTGTCATATAACATAAAGAGGATCAAATTTGGCATCAGATCTCTATTTGTATTCAGGCTGCTGTTTTCTAGCTGTGTCACTAAACAACTTAGACTAAAGCTCTCTGAGTTTCAGGTATAAAACGGGAATAATAAACATTACTGTGAGAATTAAATGTAATGCAGGTTCAAGTGCTTAGAATGTCTATTAAGCAATTAAATGCTGAATAATTATTTCAAAAGACGAATCTTGTCATAATTATTAAGAATTATAATTGAAAACCTAAAACCTTTCTTTAAACACTCTTCTGCCCCCAAAGATTGGGCCCCTGTCCTACAGCGTTATCTCTGTTGAGATTTTTGACTATAATTACTTTCAGATACTATGATTTTAAATTCAAGAGGAGGGGAAGAGAAAAAAACAGGGAAAGCAAGAAGAGCTGAGAGAGGAATCTCTGAATGAAATCTGGGGGATAAACAGAAGTCAACAGGAAGATGGGTCAGTTGGCCTCCAATTATTATTCAGTTCAACCTCTCCATAAAAAGTCACATGTTTTATCTCTTCAGCTACATGCAAAGATCTTGGAGGACAAGTACTCTTCCTTCAAGCTCTTTTAATCCTTCCCAAGAAACTGAGTGCAGATACAAGGTATCGAATAAATGTTTACTGAATATTTTATCTAATTTTTACCAAAATATGAAGGTACATAGTCCTATTTATGTCATGTAACTCTAAGATATTGACGCTTATTTCTTATAAAACTAAATAATAAAAACAGACTGATCATGGCAGTTGGGCATAATTCTTGCTGGTTACAACAAAAATTCTCAGCCTGTAAATGAAGATGCTGGTAACATCCCCAAATTATCATGCTCATTAGAATCATGGGGGTGCAAGCGGAAATCACAGAAAAGACTGGAGAAATGACCAAGAGATGAAATACAATAGGAAAAGATAACCCCCTTACAAATTTGTAAATGCCACATATTTCATTTTGGAATTATGCTGACCAGGATCTACTCAAGGTGGCTTTTAGAGAGATGCAGATGTACATTAAAATAATAGTAGAAAGTGTCCTTCCTGGAATGGAAATTCAAACACATGACTGACGTTTTGACTCAACTCTAATTCTTCTACGTCTGTAGTGAGAGGTTTAAATCCTATCACATCCCCTCCCCGGTGCCCCTGAAGACAAGCTACTTTATTCTTCTCATGCTTGTTTTAAATTGTTAATATCGCTTATTTTTTAAACTGTTGGTAAATTTAAATTAGCTCTTTAGAAGATCAGAGCAATTTAAATGATTAAAATCAGTTTTGTTTAGACTTCTTTCAAAATAATATAAACGTTAATATCCAGTAATTTTTTTAAGTATGATGAAGTCACTCTGAATGAATACAGCCAAAATATGAACAACCTCTATTATATTACACAAACTTTTAGCGCCTAGTAATAGGGTCCCTCTTAAACCCAATACACAGCTTTGAATTGAAATGAAAACTTACTTGCAGTTCTGGCACACTTTGCACTCAGGACATTGCCAACCTGCACGTTTTAATGGAGTAACCGCTGTATCCAGGCACATTCCATGATAGTGCTGACCACAAGTAGTACAAAAGAACTGATCTAAGAGGTCTCCCGGGCTGTCGCACACTGCACAGTTTGCATCTTCCTTCGCTATAATTAACAGTAAAACAATGAAATTGTTGTATAAGAATTTAAATTTTTTCTGACTACACAGTAAAATCATTTGAAAGGATTTGCATCATGAACCTTTCAGACATTTGAAGTTATTCACATTGAATTGTCATCTAATCAGAAAGAGGTATCAATAAAAACACTGTAGGGTATTTAATCTAAATGTAACCACATTAAATTTAATCGTATAGTTTTGCAATTATTTGTGGCTATATCTACTTAAGACCATAAGCAGGTCTTCTTTAATTTTCTATTCCTAATGCCAATGATAATGCTGGATACCTAATTAATGCTCAATATATGCTCACTGCAAAGAACCAAACAAGGAAAATACCAACTAAGAAATGCTTTGCAGTGTAACATAAACATTTTCTTTGAATGCTAAATATATTTTGAAATTACAAAATCAGACAAGAGACAAAATTAAGAAACGTTAATATCAATTAGACTAAGATGCTTCTTAAGCATAAACAGACTATTCAAATCACATAAGGGCTTTTTTTTGATTACTGGAAAATGTCTTATGTGGAAGAACATTAAAGACAGAAGCTACATATTCATACACAAACACATTACTTAATATACTAATTCTATATTCATCTATATTAATTTCTAGTTGTAAAAGCATTAAAATCCACATAATTATGGACATCATCCATCCCTAAATGTGGATTAAAAGAAAATGTACTAACAGTTCTTTTACCATATAAAACAGAAAATATAAGGATAAACTGCCCTGACAAATATACAGTTAAACTTATGCATATTGCAAAATAAGGAAAATAATGTATTCTAAAATCATACTAATCTTAGATAATGTATAAAAAATATGCCTGTATATAACAAGTATCACAAAGTATATGAATCTTTTCATTTTTTGAAGGTTTGATCATTCCTATCTACTATTCTGACTCATATGTTCTTTCTTTTCCAGTCAAGCTTATCATACCAACCTTTGATAATATATATAAATATGCCTGTATTTAACAAGTATCACAAAGTATATGAACCATTATTTTTCCTTTTTTTTTTTTAGACAGTTTCACTCTGTCACCAAGGCTAGAGAGCAATGGCGCGATCTAGGCTTACTGTAACCTCCGCCTCCCAGGTTCAAGGGATTCTCACGCCTCAGCCTCCCCAGTAGCTGGGATTACAGGCGTGTGCCACCATGCCCACCTAATTTTTATATTTTTAGTAGAGACGATGTTTCACCACATAGCCCAGGCTGGTCTCAAACTCCTGAGCTCAAGCAATCCTCCTGCCTCACCCTCCCAAAGTGCTGGGATTACAGGTGTGAGCTACCGCACTCAGCCTTTTTCCCATTTTTTGAAGGTTTGGTCAATCCTATCAATTTCTCTCTGACTCATACGTTCTTTCTTTTCCAGTCAAGCATCTTGAAACAGAGTAAAAATATATTTCTTTTATTTGTACCGGAGTCTGCAAACTTTTCCTGAAAAGGGCCAGGTAGTAAATATTTAAGGCTTTGTGAGCCATAGCAGTCTCTGACAAAAAGTCAGACCTTTTGTTTTTATTTACACTCTTTTAAAAATGTAAAAATAATTCCTCGCTTGAGGGCAGTACAAAAACAGGCTTCAAAATGTGGACGCTGGCTGGACCTCTGACATACTTCACGAAGGCTGGCTTAACACCTAATACTCATCTGAAGCTACATTAGTGAGGCTGCCAATGCCCATAGGAAACCCGATTTAGTCTTTGGCTTTTTTGCACTTTGTAGCATTTGCATTGCTAGCCACTCCCACATTAAAACGCCCCTTTCCTTTGTTTCTATCATGGCAACTCTCTCCTAATTTCTCCTTAGTTTTCCCCCACTTTCATCTCATCCTCCTTTGTTGGCTTTTGTACCTATACAATCTTTCTAAATGCTGGAGTTTCTTAGGATTTCATCCTTTTCCTTCTTTCCTAATCCCCCATAGTTTCCCTTTGTGATCACATCAACTCTCACGCCATAAAATGCCACCATGATTCCCAAATCTGTATTATTGGCCCTAGAATTCTTTCATAAACCCCAAACCTTTATTCTTCAAGTCTTACTGGATCTCAATAGCCAAGTGTTCTAAACACTCAATCTCAACTGCTCTAAAGTGAAACTTTTTTAAAAACCCGAAACAGCATCCATTTTTCTCAAGAACAGATAAAGGCAGAAACCTTAGTATCATTGTTGACTCTGAACTCAGCTTTGACCCAACACATCCAGCCAGATCCCAATTCTTATGTATTAAACTTCCTACACATCATTCTTTCTTTATATGTTTATAGTTTAGTCTATCATACTAGGTTGGTGCAAAAGTAACTGCAGTTTTTGACATTACTTTTAATGGCAAAGACTGCAATTACCTTTGCACCTACCTAATACTCTGTCTCGCTAACTGCAGTATCTTCTGCATCAAATCATCTCTACTTATGGTTCTGACGTCCTCTCTAAATCATTTTCTACACATCCAGAACAATCTTTCAAAAATGTAAATCTAATTGTTAACCTCTGTATAAATTAAAACTCCACCAATACCTCATTTTTCACCCAAAAGAAAATCAGAATTTTCAAGTATGAGGCAAAAAGGTCCTTATCTCCCTTTCCAACTGAATCTCAGAACCACTCACTATTTCGTGGTCATGGTGGGTTGTCTGCCATGCACCTCACATAACATGCTATTCATGTCTGTGTGCTTTTACACATTCTGTTCCCTCTGCTTGAAATTTAGTTTTTCTGCTGTGCTCCCAGCCTTCAAAACTCTGCTCATGGCTGGGCACAGAGGCTCACGCCTGTAATCCCAGCACTCTGGGAGGCCAAAGCGGATGGATCACCTGAGGTCAGGAATTCGAGACCAGCCGGGCCAACATGGTGAAACCCCATCTCTACTAAAAATACAAAATTAGCAGGGTGTGGTGGCACATGCCTGTAGTCCCAGCTACTCAGGAGGCTGAGGCAGGAGAATCGCTTGAACCCAGGTGGTGGAGGCTGCAGTGACTAGAGTTTATGCCACGGCACTCCAGCCTGGGGGACAGAGTGAGACCCTGTCTCAAAAAAAAAAAAATCTGCACATTATTTCCTGAATACCTATTACCACACCCAAATACCCATTTAGTTGTTGAATATTACTTTTACCCATATGCTTACAAGAAACTTCTGTTACATAATCATTTATTTACAGCACAACTCTGTGAATCCTTGAAGGACAGGGGCCTTAACTTTTTTAACTTTGTATCCCCAACTGCCTAACATGAATCAAGTCTTATTGAACATATTTTAAGTGAAGGACTTACTGCTAAAATCACTTTTAAATGGCTCTTTAAGTGATAGGCATTTAAAATAAATCATTAATCTAACAATGGAAGCATCATAAATTGGTTCATTTTTGATAGAAAGGACATAACTGGGATGTTATGTTTCTCATTATTAAGAGAGTACTAGTATTTGTCTTTCAAAATATGTACATTGAAAAATTGATCTCTTTTTGCTCACCGTAAAACTTTTAAAAATTGGGGGAATACTCAACTAATTATCGGAAACTAATTATCAGATAATCAATTCATTTTTCTATTATACTCTCCTAGGAACACTAAAATGCTTCTGTGAAACTTTCTAGAGTTTGCTCCCCTGACACTTCAAGTTGCCATGGTAGCTACTAGCGACATGTGGTTTCTGAACAAGTGAAATGTAATTAGTTCAAATCGAGGTATGCAGTAAGCATAAAATGCACACTGGATTCCAAAATCTTAATGGGGAAAAAGTATCTCAAAATTTGAAATATTACTATTTTGGATTACTGAATTAAATAAAATTTACTACAATTGTTCCCAAATGTTTCCTTTTCCTCAAATTTTTAACATACCCACTAGAAAAATTACTTATGTTGCTCACATTATATTTACACTGCACAGCACTGTTATATACAACAAAGTTCACTCTGCAACAAGACAACTGTCATTGTCACAAAAATCACATTTTAGACTATGATGATCTCCACCAATTCCTTACTGACAACCTTGCTGTGTTATCTGATTACTATGGATCATTGGTAATAAATTAGTCAAAGAAAAACATCCATGTAATACATCTGGTGCAAAAACACTTAATATGCCTTATGTGAAAAACAATATTATTTTTAAAAGCACTACACAAAGAAATGAGGTTGGTTCCAACCCTCCCAGTCAGAGAGAAGATGTGTGGGAATACTGAAACAACCTTATGGAGGTCGTGTATAAGAAGATTATCAATACTACTGGATAGGTTTGGTGTCATCATAGAAATTAAATATGAATATTTAGACACACATGTCTGTAAGCCAGAGACATTAAGTTTAAAGCAATAATCAACTAAGAAATTTTTCTTTAAACAGTTGAAAAAGCAAAAAGACAGGCTATAACTAAAGATAATTTAAGAGGGGAGAGGAGTAAAATCCAGGTCTATTTGGCTTCTAAGATCAGGCTCTTGACTACTAATCAAATTGACTCCTCAGCAAACTTTACTAGTGATCAATGAAAGTGATGAGTATTTGAGTATACACAAAAGTAGACACGAAATGCCAACAGTGGCATACAATGAAGCTAAATGAAGTAAAGGGAGCAAGGTTCTTATGGCAGGAGAAAAGTGAGAGGAAACAAAATGATCATCTTTAGAAAAGGTCATTTCCTAAGAGACAGCTGTAAAAAGAGAAGAGATAAATAAAAAAGACAAAAACATTGAGCTTAAATTAGAACAGAGCTTATCACAGATCCTTAAACTTGATGAAACTATTGCTTAAGAAAGTCCAGACAACACATAAGAATAAAAGCATTGGTGAACAGCAAGAAAAGTCAAAATAGCTGTCATACAGTGTGAATTGAAGAAGGACCAAATCAGCATTGCTTTCTAATTTCCATCACACCCTATCATCTGCCAATTTTCATCACTGGCAGGACACTGGGCTGAGTGATTTGTCTATAAAAGAGAATCTCTGGAAAGAAAAAATAAATCACGGATGTCATCCAAAGAGGCTAGACCGTATCATTGGCAGGTAGATAAGAAAGGTCAGAGGACTGACAGAATTTAGGGTAAAAGAAAAGCAGCAGGACTTAATGTCAAGAAATACAAAGATAACCAAAGAAAAGAGGCTGGAGTTAAAGCTTAAGTGAAGTAAAAGGAATTAAAGCTAAATGATGAGTAAATACATTGAGGAACAGGGGGTGAATTAAGATGTGTAGCATTTCCATGTTTAAACCTTGCAAAAACTTCTCATTGCAGACCGAACAGAACCCAAACTCCTTCCCTTGCTTACAAGCCTACATGATCTAGCCTTTGTTCACCTTGATGATGTCTCTACTACCCCCACCTAGTAGGCTACTATGCTCCAAGTAAAATGACATGCTGTCTGTTCATGAATCATGCCAAGTCCACTCCTCAAGGTCTGTGTAGTGGTCTGTTCCCTCTCCCTGGAATGTTCTTTCCTCTTATCTTGCATGACTGGCTTCTTACCATTCAGTTTTCCTATTCAGGAAGTATATCTCGTTGTATCTCCTAGATGGATTTTTAGTGTAAAATTTCCAGACAAGGTTAACGTATCCTTGTATCATCATGAAAACAATGTTGCAACAATGACCAGCCATTTACCTATGACAGAGCACCCTAAAAGTGTTTCCTGATGAAAATCTTGGCCTTCTTCACAGATACTCTCTTTAGCGGATTTCTTTATAATGAGATGCATGATTTTGTTAAATTTCTCAACTTTTATAAAAAGATGTCAACCTTACTCCTAACTCAGTCAACTATCACAGCTACTGCTCTGCCCTTTAGGAAGCAACAGAAAATACATATACTCAATATGTATTATCATTCTCATAACTTAAGCTTTAGATAGGAGGTAAAATAACTATGCTTTTTAAAGCAATTAATATATACAAGGCACAATCTTATGTGAATTCCATTCATTGTTTTCATTTAACCCTCATAATAACACTATGATTTAAGACAGTATCATTTTAAAAGCATAAAAAGTAACTTCTGCCATGACACACAATTAGGATAGGAAGAAATATTTATAAAAGATGTTAAAAAGGTGACAAAACATCCTATCTGCAATATTCTTTAAATTATATCCTTGGAACTTAATCCAAGATTATGATCGTCTTAACAGATGGGTCAGAACGCTGTGTAGTTAGAATGCACTGTTTAAGATCCCCAAGGAGGCCGGGCACGATGGCTCACACCTCTGTATCCCAGCAGTTTGGGAGGCTGAGACGGGCAGATCACGAGGTCAGGAGTCCGAGACAAATCTAGCCAACATAGTGAAACCCCGTCTCTACTAAAAATACAAAAAATTAGCTGGGTGTTATGGTGTGCGCCTGTAATCCCACCTACTTGGGAGGCTGAGGCAGGAGAAATCACCTGAACCCGGAAAGCGGAGTTTGCAGTGAGCCAAGGCCATGCCACTGCATTCCAGGCAGGGTGACAGAGCGAGACTCCATCTCAAAAAAAAAAAAAAAAAAAAAAAAAAAAACCAAAGAAATCTAATTTAGTCATTTAGGCCTTGATTTTATACCACTGACTTAGTTTGAAGGCTGCTATAAGAAACAGCCTTATGAAACTGGTATTTTTCTACTGCAAGGTGGCTACTTTAAGACAATTTTTCATTGCATTCTATCAAGGGATGTCTTATTATTATATCATTATATCAAGTGATGTTATAAATAGTAAGAATCAGATTAAGGGCTCATATTTCCTTCTTTGTATTGACTGTTGAAAAGGTATGGGGCCAAATTTGTGGTTTGTCTGGAATTACATATTTTTGGGGGGTCTCTCTATTATCTTCATATTTATCCTATCTAAATTTTCCATTGCCAAATTTCCTTACTTATTTTTAGTTTTATCCTATTGCTTATGTATTTTTATGAGTCTCCATAAGTCTATTTTGGAAAAAGGCAGAGTACTCATAATTTTAGTATATCTTTTAGCTTTATGTTGCCATAAACTTTTCATTATATACATGATCAACAACAGCAAATTATCTCACCTCAGTATTTAGTTTATTATTTTACAAACTGATTTATGATTACTAACATGTAACTGAAGGTATACACTATTAGAACACAGTTTTCAGTAGAAAGTAGCACTGCCATTGAGTAATAAAATGTTCCAATATTAGAGCAACATTCTTATACAAGTTTGCATGTTGTTTACTGAGGTCTAAAGCATGACTACACAAAAGGCTGAATAAAATTCAGATTCTTACATACACATAAAATTGTTTTATTGAGATGACAAAGTATATTTATTAGGCCACCCAGAATATAATCCACTCTGATAACTGCCAGTTTATGCACTTGCTGAAGTAACTCAGTACATAAATAGTAGCCACAACAGTTGCTGTGCATGAAAGTTCTTCTCTTCCAGATTGAAGAGTGTACAATCTAAAGCATTTTAAAACTTTAAATCCCTTATTAGCTTAAATATAATTTAAAATTTTGGTTTGCCTTACCTATAATTTGTCTGTACACTAGGTTACTAAGGGTGATATGATTACATATGTGGACACAAAATAATTTTAATGGAAAATGAAATTAGGTTACTCAACAAAGATAAAGGGTAATGATCATGTAACTAACCGTATTTGAGATTAGTTTAAGCCTGGGGTAGCTATACTTATGTTTCACAGACCTGGAGAAGATAGGAAAAAAAGCTTTTATCAACATTGCTAAGGAACAGGTAAAAGCTAACATTAGGTGACTAAGAGGTGACATAAAAAAGACTGAATAAAATATCATGGAGGTTTCATAATAAGATTGGAAATTCAATAGACTAGGAGAAAAAATATCCCAAAATATACATGCTCATTGGGAAAACACATAGTAAGAAAAAGGAGAGATCTCTATTTAATGATACAACAGTAGAGTTATAATTTCCTGTATAATGTAAATTTCAAGCATTTAAACATTTTCATTGAATTATAAAATACTATTTGGAAAAGAAAGAAAAACAGCACAACTGCAGATTACAGATGACTAAGATAGATGAATCATGAAAAGGTGCTAGCAGAGATTTCTATCACACCTATCAGGGATACACAATTTCCAAGAATTTCAGAAGTGTTTGGTGTTCCTATTAACGTAAATCCTGAAATAACACCTGAGTGAACTGTCTTCTAATTCTTCAACTGGATGGCTTTTTAGTGTAAAAGATGTTGAATACTGATTGACTTTTTAATAATTTTATAGTATAAGTCAGAAATACTGCACAGTCCCTATTTACATCTTTCTACAGTGGTTTTTAAAATGTTTTAAGAATAAAAAACATGCAAACTTTATTTGATTTTTCTGAGGAAATAACTTTTTGGATTTAATTTCAATGAAACCGTTGATAACATTTCCCTCCGCAACAATCTCTGGCAATGATCCCTCAGATTTTAAAGATTATGTATTATTACCTTTTAATACAAGTAGAATAACACTCAGGGAATTTACAACATTTGTTATTTTCAGTAAACACATTGGTTGAAGTTTAAAAGTCTATGCGTAGTAAACTTACATCTTTCAGGAGCTTGGTCAATGTGTTCTGGACAAAGCAGGAAGATGTGACTGAAATCCTGAAAGGTGTCGGCTCCTGCAGCACAAGGATAATGATACATCTGGGTACATTTCTCTTCACAGCATTTGATAGTGGCTCCAAAGTGCTTACAAAATGCACATCGCTGAAAGGGGTAAAGGAGAGAAATCTCTTTATAAAACCTTGAAAAGGAATATTCAAATATAAGCTGGGAAGGTATAAAAAACTCTGTACATCACAAGTAAACAAATGGAACCTGCAAAATATTAAACAAAGGATTCGTTAGAAATAATAAAATCTACATTACTCAATTTAGTGCTTCGTGTGCTACCAACTCATCCTTCCATTCAAATTAGAAAGTTAGAATTTCATTCCTTATATTTTCAAAAATAAATTGTGAAGCATTTTTGAAACAAAACCTAAAGATTTTTTTTTAAAGCAAATAGTAATATGGTTAAAGGGGCAGGTTTCTATATTGAGGATTATTATAAAGTTTTTAAATCCCACCAAAACTAGTAATAGGAACATATATTATTTATGAGACATATTACTATTTTTTACCCTGCCTAAAAATAAATACAAAATAAACTCATCAATTATAAGTTAACAGGGACATAAATAGTTAGACTCACAAAAAAAAAACTACATACTTCAATGTAGCAATCAACTTCAAATTTCTTAACAAAAGATGGAAATGTGGGGGAAAAAAATTAGTCATCTGGTATCTTTCCCATTTCAACCTGCCTCCATTATCTTGCAAGTGGTAAAACACACAGAAATAAGCCCCAAACAAGAGGGGCAGTCTAGGGCAAGTGAACACATAAGAAGTCAGAAGAAATTATGTAAAATGTTGCATTTACTTATTCAGTTTTCCCTTAGAATGATTCACAAACTCTTCCTCATTCTCCCAAGTCCATTTTGAGCATCATTTTCTTTGAAGAGAGTCTGATGGGCCCTGTACTGTACAGTATGAAATCTCTCTGTGGGAAATGACTATCTAACATAAATTTTTGTTTACACCGTTACATAGTACCTACTTGCTTATGCCATTACATGATCAGTTTATCTTTTTCTCATCCTAATCCAAGATCCTTCAGTTGAGGCACCATACTATCTTTGTATCCAAAGCACCAAAAATGCTGCTTCAAACAGGCCCTAATAGATAAGTGTTCCTATACATATACCAAAAAGTCTTAACTTTTGGTGATCTTGTTTGTGAGTGTGGCTCATAAACAGCTTAGCTGAGATAACTGGAGCCTCACGTAGCAGAGACAGTTGGACCCTGCTAACATTACTGTGGATATCTTCACATGTTACTACACTGACTTTATATTCTGCTAATTAACCAGGGACTACAGCAGTTAAAATTATAATTGTTTTCAATGTTTTATGTGTAAATCTGTATTTCACATACTATCAAACTCTTCCTCACTGTCATCAGTCTACTGCATTGAATCAACATAACAAAGCTAAATGACTCCTGAGGGCCGAATCAGAAAGAAGAAAAGAAAGAGATACAAAACTTTGGCCAGCCCAGTGGCTCACACCTGTAATCCTGGCACTTTAGAAGGCCAAGGCGGGCGGATCACGAGGTCAGGAGATCGAGACCATCCTGGCTGACACAGTGAAACTCCATCTCTACTGAAAATACAAAAAATTAGCCGGACGTGGTGGCAGGCACCTGTAGTCCCAGCTACTTAGGAGGCTGAAGCAGGAGAAGCTTCTAAATAACTCATAAACACTAATTACTGTTGTGACACTTTAATTTTATATAATATTTATAAGTATACAGAATAACATTTCAGTGCTATTTTGGCACTCAAGGGTATTAATGTATTAGAAACACAGAAAAAATATTTGTCTTCATTGATAAAGTGTAATAACCAGCTTTTACAAAACAGGTAATTTTTTATATTGTAACTCCCAAGGTATCTAAATATGTTTAGTGCATTAACAGAACCCAGAATTAACTGCAAATACAACACCTTGGTAGTCTAAATGTCCAAACAGAAAGTTCACGTAAATGTCGAAAGAAAAAGTACAATCAATCTGTTGAAAAATATTTATAACAACTCATTAGCATAACTAATTTCTGCTAAATTGTTAAAATCTAAAATCGCTTATTTTGATACCATATGGCAAGTTTTGCAGAAGCCTTTTGCACTAAAAATAATCTTGGCAGATAAAATATAATGAGAGGTAAGTATATAATAACAGAAAATAATTTAAATTGACCAGCTTCTCAATGTCTTTCTCATTTTAGAAACACCAATATGTTCTCTTAATCATATCTGCAATGAAAAATATTATATTAGCTAAACTAATACGAAAAGTACTGGAATATATCTAACATACTAATTTACAATATCATATAAAGGTATCAGTGAATAAAAGAAGGAAAATAAAACACTACATTTAGGGGAACGCTTCAAACCCATATGTTACAATTAAATAGCTAATGAAGAGCACTCGGCATTAAAAGAAAACGTTTACTATATATACACAGTCTGGAATGTATCTTCCTAAACCAAATAAAAAGGACTTGTAAAATCATAGACAATATCAAAGAATAGATTTCTACAGGGAACTTCTCAAATGTCAACACTCTTATACACTACACATAAAAGAAATCAAGCAAGTTAAAATATTAATAATATAATAAGTAATATATAATACATAAGTAACAATTACAAAGCTAATTAACATTTGGGAAGGAGGGATAAAGTAAACAGCTCTTGGCCGGGCATGGTGGCTCACGCTTTTAACTCCAGCACTTTCGGAGGCTGAGGCAGGTGGATCATTTGAGCTCAGGAGTTCGAAACCAGCCTGGGCAACGTGGTGAAACTCCATCTCTACAAAAAATACAATAATTAGGTAGGCATGGTGGCTGGCATGCACCTATAGTCCCAGCTACTCATGAGCCTGGGGTGGGAAAATTGCTTGAGCCCAGGAGGTTGAGGCTGCAGTGAGCTGTGATCACGCTACTGCACTCTAGCCTGGGCAACAAAAGTGAGAACCTGTCTATAAAAATTAAAAAAAAAAAAAGCCCTTAAATGGTTTATCAACTAAATGGTTTATTTGAATCAATAAAGAAAATTCCTAGACAGCATTTTTTCTTTTTACTTTTATTCGTCATTAAAAAGACAGGGAGTAAGAAAAGGAAAAAAAGTAACATGTTATAAATATTTTCCCATATTAATCCAAGAACACAATAAGAACAACAAAAACTCAGTGAGAACTCATATTACCAATTTTAAGAATGAGTCTGAGGAATTTTCAAAACTTTTATTTAATAGATTGAAATAATCTGTCAAAATGTATCTATAAAACACAACAGAATGAACAAAATTTCTGAGATTAAAGTTGTATCATAAAAAAATACCAAGAAGTTAAATATTCCACAGTTCATTTAATTAATTATCCAGTATTTATTCTGTACCAACTATAGCAATGGTTTTAGGCTACGTGCTCCAATAAATAAGTATTGTAAGGCTCCCCATGCTCCAAATTTGTTTTTAATCTTCACCAATCTGTTTTTAGTGTTAGGCAACTAGGATTCTCCCAGGATGCAGTAATAAAGAACAAAGATGGAAAGCAAGAGAAAGAGGTAGAATGACATGAAAATCTGATCCAGAAGGTGCAACGTCTGTTTTATATGAGTACCAGAAAGGGAGAAAATAGGAGGGATTATAATCACCAAAATTCTAAAGGAAAAGTTATGTATATATCTAATAATAAAAGCTAACATTTAATTAAGCATAATCCTCATTCAACAGATGAGGAATCTAAAACCCAAAGAGTCATTATCACTGTTCCACTTATCTCTGTATCCCTACAAAAATACTCACTCTTGATCTGTAACAATGCCTCCTTAAACTCCCTGAATGGCAGCTTCAGGTAAAAACTTCCCAGAAAGTTTGAAATAACAAGGATAAAAGGAAAATTCTTGGAGCCACATAAAAAAGAAAACAGATCATTACAAAAAAAGAAGAATCGGGCATCAGTTCTCATTACCAATACTGAATTAAAAAGAAACCCCCCAAAAAATCATTATTTTCCTAGGTCTATAAGAAATTATTTAAAACCAAAATTTTAATGTCTGTTAAGCTAACATTCAAGTCCACGGATAACAAATGTAAATAGTTTAAATTCTCTAGTAAAAGACAGCAACTTTCAAAATATGCAAAATATACTACTTAACACATACACATATTTTACATGTAACTATACTACAGACTTCATTTATGTATGTGTGTGTGTGTACACATATATAATATAAAATGAATGAAATACTTTGGATATTTGTCCCCGCCAAAATTTTATGTTGAAATGTAATCCCCGATGTTGGAGGTGGGGCCTTATGGGAGGTGTTTGGGTCATGGGGGCAAATCCCTCATGGCTTGGTGCTGTCCTTGCGATAACGAGTGAGTTCTCACAAGATCTGGTTGTTCAAAAGTGTATGGCATCTCCACCCATCTCCTCTGCTCCTGTTCTTGCTATGTGAGATGCCTGCTCCCCTTTCTCCTTCCACCGTTATTTCAAACTTTTTTTTTAAATTTATTATCTATTTTTTTTTTTGAGACAGAGTTTCACTCTGTTGCCCAGGCTGGAGTGCAATGGCCCGATCTCGGCTCACTGCAACCTCCGCCCCCCAGGTTCAAGCGATTCTCCTGCCTCAGTCTCCTGAGTAGCAGGGATTACAGGCACCTGTCACCGCAACCGGCTAAATGATTTCAAACTTCTTGAAGCCCTCACCAGAAGCAGATGCCAGCACCACACTTCCTGTACTGTCTGCAGAATCGTGAGCCAATTAAACCTCTTTTTGTTATCAATTACCCAGCGACAGGTATTTCTTTACAGCAACACAGGAGCGGCTGTATATATATATATATACATACATATATATTCATACATATGCACAATGCACAGTGACATACACAATTCAAAAACAGACTTGAGGGGAAAAAACACAAACGCTATCCAAAAAATGCAGGTATAGCAATAATTGCAAAGAAACAGAATTTAAACTAAAAAGCAGTGAACAAGTCAAAGATAATTTATAATAACGTAAGTTTTATGTTGCAGTGTAAATTCCAAAAGAAGCCATAGTCATTAGTTTATACACCTAATAAATATATGTCACATATAGAAAGTAAAGCTGAGTAGAAATAACATGCATAGATTAGACTTTAACATAGCTCTCAAATGAGGATATTAAGTAGATATGAAATAAATAATAACAATGATCGGTTTTGATTCAAACAGACACATAAAATACACGCAGATCTCTGAATTCCAAAAATAGAGAAAACATCCTATTCAAATGTACATAGAATTTTCAAAAAAACTTCACATGTATGGTCATAAAGAAATGTCCACATATTTTAAAAAGCAGGTATTTCCTAGGTTATATCCAGTAAAAGCAGATGCGTCCCTAGACCTAATACAATAAAAATTAGAAATTCATAATATAAGGATAAACTCCCAAATCTATCCACTGGCAAAATTTAAAAGTCCTTTCTATATAACGGCAGAGTTTCAATCAAGAAGAAAAATCATGTATTATTTTTAAATGATTAAGAAACATCAAAAATATCTCTGAGATGTGGCAAATGTGGTATTCAGAGGAAAAAAATATAGCTTCAAACATGCAAAACTGTAAGACTAAAGAATTACAATAAATAATGCCCGATTCAAAAATTAAGCCAATAAGAATCAACATATAATCCATGAGATTCGCCATCTAGGGAAGTAAACCCACCCTAATACTGTGTTTATTAAAATGCTGTTAATGAGATCCGAGGTTTAAACAACTCTTCACTTTAGAAAGTGAAATAAAGCTGACTGAAATAAAACCTAATCTATGAAATTATTCTGTATATGAATTGACCTGAAGTAATGAACAGTTCAATGACTGGCTTATGACTCTTGTTCTGGTCCAGGTTAATCATTCTAGTTGGCATACTATTAAACACACATTTCTGATTGAAACATCTGTTAAATAACATCAAACGACATTACAAAATCAAAATGGAGACTGCTAAGAGTGGGATTTTTCTCCTGCCAGTATCTTTCCTTTCTGCCACATCCTCCTCCCTGCTTCCACAGCAATCTTTCTAAAGGAATACAAATATATTCTGAATCACACGCAAACCCCTCAATACAGAATGTGTGGTAGGCAGTATTCTAAAATGCCCACATACCACCAACCCCACCAAATTTCCTACCCTAATACAGAGGCTGTAAATATGATGAAATATCATGGCAAGGATAATGCCATTAATATATTATATGGCAAAGGAATTCTGCAGATGTGATTAAAGCCACCAATCAACTGCCTTTGCATTAATCAAAAGGGAGATTTGCCTAATCTAATCAAATAACCTCTTTGAAAGCTGGAGTTTTCTCCAGCTAGTAGCAAAAGGGAAATTCATAGCAAGGGAACATTTCAATACACTGTTGCTATCTTTGAAGATAAAAAGAGCCAGGAGCAAAAACCAAAGAGTGGCCTCTAGGAACTGAGAGTGACCCAAGCCAATAGGCAGTAAGAAAATGGTGAGCTCAGCAGGGTGTGGTGGCTCATGCCTGTAATCCCAGCACTTTGGGAGGCCAAGGCAGGAGGATCACGAGGTCATGAGATCGAGACCATCCTGGCTAACACGGTAAAACCCCGTTTCTGCTAAAAATACAAAAAAAAAAAAAATTAGCCGGCATGGTGGTGCACGCCTGTAATCCCGGCCACTTGGGAGGCTGAGGCATGAGAATCACTTGAACCCAGGAGGCAGAGGTTGCAGTGAGCCGAGACTGCACCACCGCACTCCAGCCTGTGCGACAGAGCAAGACTCTGTCTCAAAAAAAAAAAAAAAAAAAAAAAAAAGAAAAAGAAAATGGCGAGCTCAGCCCTACAACTGCATAGAACTGAATTCCTCCCACATCTGAATGCCCCAGAAGAGGATTCACCCCCGGAGCCTCCACCCAGGTAACACCTTGATTTGAATCCTGTGAGACCTTAAACAGAGAGCACAGTTGAGCCTGCCCTGAGTTCTGACCTAAGTAAATGGGTGCTGTTTTAAGATATTAAGTTTATGGTAGTTGCTTTATAATAATAGATAACAAATAGAGCAGCATTTCAAGGCCCTCCATGCTTTGGTCTCTGCCAAATCACTATTAGATTTTTAAGATTTTTTTTTACACATTATACTTACATTACACAATGTCTTAACACTATGAAGTAAAAATGTAAATATTTTAAACTCTGGCTTGGAAATGAGGAGGCAGAATCTCAGAAATTTTCCTAAAATAAAATAGGAGAGGCAAGCTTTCTGAGTCCACAAAAGTGCCCTCTACCTATTGGGTCAAAGAAAAAGTAATTTCTCTATTTGTAACAACATACATAAATTATAAACCCTGAAGAAATAGGTCCCTAATAGCTATAATCTTTAACATAACCATAAATAAAAACATGAATAAATCTGACTACATAAAAATGTAAAAACTTCTATGTGGTGAGAACACACATTACAGAAAAAAAAATCAAATGACAAAAAATAACCTCCAATTTGGATTACAAATATCTAGTATCCTGGATATATACAAATAAAGCATGTAAGTTATAAAAATGAGTATAATTTTAAAATAGACAAGGATACTTTATAGAATTTCATAATTTAAGGAAGACATAAAGTTAGCCAATAAACTATGGGTAATATGCAAGAATCAGTAAGCATTATTATTTGCCAGCAGCTAAGCCAAGTACTTTATAAGAATTACTTTATTCCCATCTATGCCAGGCACAGTGGCTCACGCAAGTAATGCCAACACTTCGGAAGGCAGAGGTGGGTGGATCACCTGAGGTCAGGAGATTTAGACCACCCTGGCCAACATGGCGAGACCACGTTTCTATTAAAAATACAAAAATTAGCTGGGCCTGGTGGCAGGTGCCTGTAATCCCAGCTACTTGGAAGGCTGAGGCAGGAGAATCAGTTGAACCCAGGAGGTAGAGGTTGCAGTGAGCTGAGATCATGCCACTGCACTCCAGCCTGGGCAACAGAGTGAGACTCCATCTCAAAAACAAAAACAAAAACAAAAACAAAAACAAAGAAATTACTTTATTCCCATCTAACCACCACCACTTTAGGTAGATATCACTATTTTTCATTTTACAAATGAAGCAGAGAGGTTAAATTTCCTTGTTCAAGTCCATAGAGTCAGGAAATGAAAAAGGAACTGAACTCAAGGAGTTCATAATTATTTATATACAAGTAATAAAGACAAATTCATTGACTATGGAAATGTACTGAGTATTTTGTCTTGTTTACATAATGGTTTTTATTTAGGTTGTAAGAAAATAACATATAACCAGGCACGGTGGCTCGTGCATGTAATCCCAGCACTTTGGGAAGCCAAGGCAGGCGGATCACTTGAGACCAGGAGTTCGAGACCAACCTGGCCAACATGGCAAAACCCCATTTCTACCAAAAAAAATACAAAAATTAGCCAGGCATGGTGGTGCACGCCTGTAATCCTAGCTACTTGAGAGGCTGAGGCAGGAGAATCGCTTGAACCCGGGAGGTGGAGGTTGCAGTGAGCCAAGATTGCACCACTGCACTCCAGCCTGGGTGACAGAGCTGGATTTTGTCTCAAAAAAATAAAAAGTAAAAAAGAAAGTAAGAAAAGAAAGTAGCCACTTTGGGGTTAGAATCCATAATACTCTCAGTGTCAACCAAAAGAAATGTACTGCAATGTTCACAGAACACAATTCATAATGACCTCAAATTGAAAGTCCTCAAAATGCCCAACGGTAAAATAAATAAATTATAGTACTCTTAACAACAGAATACTATATATCAATGAGAAAAATAAACGACTTAGTAGCTCAATTATACGAAGTACAAAGCCAATTACGCAAAGTACAAACATAGGCAAGACTCACCTATGTTGTTACTAGATGATAGTGCATGTCTCTGGGGAGTTAGGAATAGTAACCAACAGGAGGCTTGAATGGAATGTCTGGGGCGCTATTATTTGTTTCCTGATGTGATTTTAGTATATAGGTTCTAATATTTGGGGTATTCCTAGAAATGTGTACCTATTATTCACTTGCTCTATATATATAGCAAAGTGAATTTTATATATAATTCTTCAACATATTTTTAGAAAAATTAAGTTTTTTTAGAAAATCAAGAGAATTTTAGATAAAAACTCAACTTTTAATGGAAAATATTTTCCTTTTTCTTTCTCACATGAAATCCTCTATCAAGGTTAGTATCCTACCTGGCATCTCTCCAATACTGGGTTAAGAGTTTTTCTTCTCAAGTAACCTGTATTATATTAAGATGATATTAACTGAAATAATCAGATAGATGACTGCGCCATAAAGCTAATTCTAAGGTATCTGTCCTTAGCCAAAAGCAGAAAAGGGATACACATAACTTCCACATAAAACATCCACCCTCATTTTTTTGGTTATTCTTAAAAGCTCATAATGTATACAATGATAAAATTTATTGTTTCAAATTAGGGTTTTTGAAATTGAAATATTAATTTAAACACGTTTGCTTAACACAACTTTAAAGTTAATAAGAAAACACTGCATATTACAGAAGAGTTAAATACTTCAAAAAGTGGGAAAGAATTTAAAAGCTTTCATTTGAGTAGGAGTAAACACAGACACACTAAGAATCTAGTTGGATACACTTAAATCATGTCTTTTAAGAACATAAGAACAGATTATTTGCTTCCTCTTTAGTCCAAAACCTTGGTGTAATTTTAGTCCAAATTTGAAACTAACAGAAGAATACTCAGCTTCTTAAAAGTTTTATTTCAAGAACAGTAAAAGAACTTCTGGTCTTACAAACATTACACAGATAAAACGAGTTTCTCCAAACAGATGTATGTAAAAATCTAGTACATATACCCCCAAGTTGAGTCAATAAGGTGAACCAGATTCTGGTTGAATGGAATCCTTGAAATATAACTTTGGTGAACAAACTGTTTGTGTTTTCCACTTTTCTTAAAAAAAGAAGTGATAAAGCAGATTTCCAGTACCTGCCAGCTGACAAAATGCTACTTACCAGGTAAAAACCACTGCCAAAAATCAGAATCACAGAAGGGCTATCAGTAAAATTATTAATGCCACAAATTAACATGATGTTAACAGCTGATTTATGCATCAAAAGAGTATTTATATAATCACAGCAAATAACTCAAATCTTTTACATCACTAGTAAACTCAAAAAATATAGCAAAAAGCAATAACATTAAATTTCATTATTGATCTACTAGCTTTAACTATTTAATACTAGTACACTTAGTTTTGATTACTTTGAAATTGAAGCAAAAACAATAATCTTTTCTTCTTTTAATGACTTTTTCAGTTACAGGAAAGATGATATTAAAAGAAGATATACAACCATAGCTTAGCTACAGGTATAAAATTGTTTTAAAGATATGTAATTGTGCTATTGAATTAAACTGAAAACATAAATATCAACTCATGATTTTGAAAAAAAAATCTTTTTTATGTTTGGTTTTGGTAAAAGGAGAGATAAATAAGTCAGAAGAACAGAAAATACAGAAATAGGCAAACTTTCCCATATTCAATTAATTTTTGAGCAAGGGGTCAAGGTAATTCAAGAGAGCAATAAATAATCTTTTAGAATGATGCTGGAACTGCCAAATAATTCATATGGAAAACAAAGAAACATGAATCTTATCTCGTATTCTCTTATCATATGTGTAATTTAACCATAAATGGATTTTTTAAACCTACAAGTAACACTGCGGCAAGCAAAGATTTTTTAATAAAGCATAAAGAGCATAATTTTTTCAACTTCAAAAAATTAACAAATGACAAATGTCATCAAAATGAAACCCTCTGCTGTTCAATAAACATTGCTAAATAAATGAAAACAAGTCACACATTAGGCAAAAATATTTATAAAATGCATCTCCAATAACTGACTTCTGTGAATAATATATTAAAAAAAACTTAGAACTCAAGAAGATGACAAGCAAATCAATTGGAAAAAAATGGTGGTAGAGACAAAATACTTTAACAGACATGTCACCAAAGATACACAAATGGCAAAAAAAAAGACATAAAAAGAAGCTCAATCTAATTAATCATCAGAGAATGCAAAATCAAACCCACAATAAATTGTCACTAAATGCCAACCAGATGGCTAAAATTTAGAAACAGTGGCAATATCCAGTGCTGGCAACAATGTACAGCAAATGGAACTCTCAGATCTCTAGAAATGGAAAAGTATACAGACACTTTTTAAGAAACTGTGAAACTGTTTTCCAAAGTTAAGAATATTATTTCCAACAAGTCAGAAATTCCAGTCCTAGGTATTTACCCAAGAAACATGAAAAGATACATCTACAACGAAGCATGTTACATAAATGCTCACAGCAGCTTTATATACTGGCCAAAAATTGAACGAAACTTAACTGTAAGCTAGTGAATGGACCAATCTCAAAACGATTATGCTAAGCAAAAAAAAGGCAGATGGAAAAGATTCTATACTGTATGGTTCCATTCATATATTAGTCTAGAAAAGGCAAAACTATAGGAAAGCAACAGATCGGTGATTGCCAGGAGCTGGAGTGGGAGGTAGGCAGTAACTTCAAAAAGTCATGAGCGAATTTATGGGTAAAGGGTCTATTCTGTATCTTGACTATGATGGTAATTACATGACTGTTCATATTTACCAAATCACATTCAATACACACCTTAGAAAGGGTGAATTATAGTGTATGCAAAATATACCTTAACAAAACAATGACTCTCACACATAAATTTATTTATTTATTGGGTAACAGCATAGGGGCTAATATCAGAATAACTTTCCTAAAATGTCTCAAATCTGAAGAAAATGTAAAAGCTAACTAATTGAAGTTACCTGTAAATAACCAAAAACTGGCTGGAATGGGAGGACATTTTACCCTTGGAAAAAAAGCGGAATATCATTGGCTAAAATCTATATTTAAATAGAGTTTCAGTCTGGGCACGATGGCTCCTGCCTGTAATCCCAGCACTCTGGAAGGCCGAGGAAGGTGGACCACCTAAGGCCAGGATTTTGAGAGCAGCCTAGCCAACATGGTGAAACCCCACCTCTACTAAAAATACAAAAATTAGCTGGGTGTGGTGGTGGGCACCTTATAGTCCCGGCTACTTGAGAGGCTGAGGCACAAGAATCGCTTGAACCTGGGAGGTGGAGGTGGCTGTGAGCCAAGATTGCGCCATTGCACTCCAGCCTGGGCGACAGAGACCCTGTCTCAAAAGAAAAGAAAAGAAAATTCTACAACTAATAAGTATAGTACTTTCAATGAAAATTTTAGTGGATGGGCTTAACAAGAGATTGGTAGAAAATTGGTCCATCTCCTTGAAAATACATGAATAGTGTATCTATTCTGAGGAACTAAAAGTAAAAACACTGGGAAGAAGACGAACAGACCCTCAGTAACCTACAAAATATCAAATATACTAACATTCATGTAATTAGAGTTACAGAGGAAGAGGAGAGAGAAATGAGACAGAAAAAGAATAAGAAATAAAAGTCAAGCTTTTCACAAATTTGGTGAAAAATATCAACTTACACTTTCAAGAAGCTCAGCAACCCCCAAGCAGGATGAATACAAAGAAAACCACACCTAGGCACATCATAGTCAGACTGCTGAAAACCAAATATAAAGAGAAAATCCTGAAAGCAGCCAGAGAATATCAAAACATTACTATATACATGGGAATAATGATACTGACACCACACCTGACTTCTCATTAGAAACCATGGAAGACAGGAAACAATGCAACATCTTTTAAATGCTTGAAGAAGAAAAACATAATCATCCCAGAACTCTATATTCAGGGAAAAAAAGACAAAAATGCATGCAGACTTCCACTTCCAGGCAAAATGCAGAAAATGTACTTTTCCCTGTTCTTTCCACTAAATACAGCTTTAAAAACCCTTGGCCGTGATACATAAGACAAACAAAGGAAGACAACAAAATGTAGAGAGAGGGCAGACCAATTAGGGCTTCAGGTGCCAAGAAACACAAGAGGATGAATTCCCTAGGTTTCCTTTCTGACTCATATATACAAGAAAAGTTGCTAGAGAAGCAGACAACTCAGAAACACCAACAGGCACACACATACATAAAACTCCAAGAAAATTCTGCTGTCTCTTGTCAAAAAAGCAGGGAAGCGGCAGGCTACCAAGAAAAAAAAACTCACAGACAACAACCAACCAGTTTAAGCCAAAGGGTACAAATAAAACCCCAAGCCATATACCTTTTGCAAAGACTTAAAAGGAGGACATAGTCAGCCATTCCCCACTCCTACCCACAGACAACATGATACCACAGCAGGCCAAGTGGGGACACAGGACACTCATACCCACTGAGCAGTAACGCGGCTTCCTCCCTCTAGAGTGTGGGTGGAAAAAAAGTGGGGAGCCTGAGTTCAACACCCACCCAATGATAAGGACATATCCCTATCCCTCCCTCTACAGAGATATGACAGCAGAGGCCTACTGGAGAATCCAAACTCAAAGCACTGCTCAGTGATAACTTAACCACCCCTCCATCCCAGTGTCAGTGGAGGCCAAGTGAAAAGCAGGAACCTTTTGAGCCAGGGTGGTATTCACAAAGGTATAATGCAAGTCCAGAGTTTTCATTCCTACTCAGCATTTACTAGGTGTACGTCTCCATCAGTGAGTCAACAAAGGCCTACTATGAAACTGGAATCTTCACATACACCTGGGAGTAGTAACAAGGCTGTGCCCCACCTCCACCCCAAAAGCAAAGTTTCAGATAAATCCTACTAAAAGGGGGGATTTAAATAAAATGCAGAGCTTCATAACACAACACTTAAAATGCAAAGGATTCAACCAAATATACCATGTCATACCATACTAAGAACCAGGAAAATCTGAACAGGAATTTGAAAATATAGTCAAAAGGTGCAAACAATGAGAATTCATAGAGGTCATAATTATCTATCAAAGATTTTAAACTATATATTATAAAACTGCGTCAACAAGCAATTACAGCTGGACACAGTGGCTCACGCCTGTAATCCCAGCACTTTGGGAGGCAGAGGTGGTTGGATCACTTGAGGTCAGGAGTTCGAGACCAGCCTGGCCAACATCATGAAACCCCATCTGTACTAAAAATACAAAAATTAGCCAGGCATGGTGGTTCACGCCGTGATTCCAGCTACTTGGGAGGCTGAGGCATGAGAATCACTTGAACCCAGGAAGCAGAGGTTGCAGTGAGCTGAGATCATTCTACTGCATTCCAGCCTGGGCAACAGAGCAAGAGTCTGCCTCAAAAAAAAAAAAAAAAGCAATTACAAACTTAATTTTGAAACAAAGGAAACAATACAAAGTTTCACAAAGAAATCAAGAAAGAAACAAATACCAAGTTGAAAATTAAAAAATATGCTAGCAATAATAAAATACAAACTAAACTGAACAACAAAATGGGAGAGATTACCCAACCTAGAGAAGTAAATGAACTGATTAAAAAAAAAAAAAAACAGTGGCCAGGTGCGGTCACTCAGGCCTGTCATCCTAGCACTTTGGGAGGCCGAGATGGGTGGATCACCTCAGGTGAGGAGTTCAAGACCAGCCTGGCCAACATGGCAAAACCCTGTCTCTAATAAAAATACAAAAATTAGCTGGGCATGGTGGCACACACCTATAATTCCAGCTACTCAGGAGGCTGAGGCAGGAGAATCACTTAGACCCAGGGGTGGAGGCTGCAGTGAGCTGAGATCGTACCACTTCACTCCAGCCTGGGCAAAAGAGCAAAACTCTGACAATAAATAAACAAATAAATACATATTTTTTTTAAAAAAAGGCATTAAAGACACTTGTGGGAATATAATAAATGATGCAACATTCCTGTCACTGGAATCTCAGAAAAGGAACATGATGCAGCTGAACAATTATTCGAAGACCCACAGATTCAAGAAATTGAATAAATCCTAAGAGGATACACACAAATAAATCAATGCTAATATATATCATAAACTTCTGAAAACTAATGACTAAACTTAAAAACCTTGAGATAAATAAGAGAAATGACACCTTATCCACAGATGAAAAACAACTCAAATGACAGCAGATTTCTCACCTGAAACCATGGAGGCCAGAACAAAGCAGCATAACATTTTTGCAAGTCCTAAAAGAACCGACAACAAAGAATTCTATATCCAGCAAAAACATCCATTAGTAATGAAAGGGAAATCAAGAAATTGTGAGATGAATGAGAACTAAAACTTAGTCATGAGACAAAACTACAGCAAAAGAATAGTGAGAAAAGTTATTGAACCAGAAAGGAGAATGATAAAAAGAAGGATTCTCAGAACATCCTGAAGGAAGAAAGAACAAACAAATAGTAAAAATATGGGCAATAAAACAGACTTTACTGTTCCTTGAGTTTCCAAAATAATGTTTAACAATTGAAGCAAAAATTGTTACATGGTGCAAAAGCTATGGTGGGTAATACTGTTGATGCATTTCCAAAACTGAAGGCAGCTGGCACCAAGCTGTATTAGAAGTTGTCACATTCTCAACTGGCACTACAACTACAGTAAAAATAATGTAGAGTATCATTGAGAATATCACTGATGAAGCAGCAAAAATCTTTAATGTTTTAAGTCTTGATCCATGAATACACATCTTTTAATTATCTATGTGACAAAACGAGAAATAAAGCATAAAATAATTGTTACACCATAGTTTTTCTTGAGGAAAGAATTTGTGATCATGTGATTTATAAACTGAAATAACTGCTTTTTTCATGGAACACTGTTTTTACATGTAAGAACAACAAACCACAATTATTAAAACTTGATTATCTGACATATTTCTTCAAAAATGAATAAAGTGAGCCTGTCACTTCAAGGAAAACAACTTAGAACATGAGTGGACAATAAGATCTGAAAAACTTACAACCAACAATGTAAGCTTAACTAATTCCAATACTTAAAGACTTTTCTGATGAGATCAGTCGATTATAACAAATGTGAATTTTGTTATTTATTAAAAATATGTAGGACTAGGTAAGGTGGCTCACACTTGTAATCCCAG
Organism: Homo sapiens; assembly: GCF_000001405.40. NCBI lineage: Eukaryota > Metazoa > Chordata > Mammalia > Primates > Hominidae > Homo > Homo sapiens. The sequence continues at coordinate 10,438,178 of NC_000021.9, read as the reverse complement.
CACTTTGGGATCACTGGAGGTCAGGAGTTCAAGACCAGCCTAGCCAACATAGTGAAACCCCATCTCTACTAAAAATACGAAAATTAGCTGGGCCTGGCGGTGCATGCCTATAGTCCCAGCTACTCAGGAGGCTGAGGCATGAGCATCACCTGAACCCAGGAGATGGAAGTGAGCTGAGATCGCACCACTGCACTCCAGCCTGGGCAACAGAGTGAGATTCTGTCTCAAACAAAACAAAACAAACAAACAAAAACAACCGTATGAATAGTTGGACTATCTGGATCACTCAGTGAATCAATATTTTCCAAAGACCACTTAGTAATCTAATAAAATCATATATGGGTAAAAGATCCCCTGAAATTGCAAGGTAGTCTAATAAATTTTATATATATATATATATATATATATATTTTTTTTTGTCTGAGATGGAGTCTCACTCTGTCACCCACGCTGGAGTGCAGTGGCACAATCTCGGCTCACTGCAACCTCCACCTCCTGGATTCAAGCGATTCTCTGCCTTGGCCTCCCCCGTAGGTGGGATTGCAGGTGACTGCTATAATGCCTGGCTAATTTTTGTATTTTTAGTAGAGACGGGGTTTCACAATCTTGGCCAGGCTGGTCTTGAGCTCCTGACCTCGTGATCCACCCGCTTCAGCCTCCCAAAGTGCTGGGATTACAGGCGTGAACTACTGCGCCCAGCCCATAAATTATAATTTTAAAGGGTAAAGATATAAAGTTCATTGATGGGATTGCAGTCTTCAGATTGCACCAAACCACTTGAAAAACTTGAGAAACTACCACTTCTCAAGCTTTGGTTTAGTATCAAACAGGAATATTCATTAGGGCTTGTGCTTTCATTCTTACGGTATCTTTTAATAAACAGAAGTTATTTCTCAAATGTAGTTGAATGCTCCAATATTTTCTTTACATTCAGTGCTGTATCTCAAGAACTCTTTTACAAAAATATTATCCTATATTATCTTTTTAAGTATAAATAAAAATAATTATCTTTTTAAAAGCTTATGAGTTTAGGTGGAAATATGAAGGGCCAAAAGGAATTGGAAGATATTTTCCTACTATTTGTTCTTTCTCTTGATTTTCATGATTCATTATTCTTGTAGAAGTGACCTTACCACAGTATAAGGTTCACTTATAATCACTGTTCTGCCTTGTAATTTTAGGTGAATTTGTTACAAAATATTATGAAATCTATAGGAAAAGCCAACTTTCAAAGCTATTAAGCATTTGACTTAACAGTTGAGGGCAATATTATTCAGAAAAATTTCAATCTCATTCCTCAGCGCAAAAAACTGAAATAAAACTTTACCACTGCCAAGTCATTAAATTGCTCTGTATAATGGCAATTCAGTATATTCTGCCTCTATATCTAACAAAAATTCATAGGATTTGATGATAAAGTCCACAAATGCAAGTCAAAATCACTGCTGACACTATTATATAATAGTTCACTAAAACATGACAGATTTAAATATTTTCTGCAAAGTACCTGCTAATAAATAATACAATAAATAATCAGGCTTTAAACACCTGACATTTAACAAGCTTTGTAAATTTGTCCAACTCAAGTCTTTCTGCTCCACAGTTATTTTTGCCACTATCAACTGTAACGCATCTTAGCGGATTCCACTTCAGGTTGTACTAAGTTAGTGTTTGCTCAACTTTTCTGAAAATATTTTCTCTTGTACTTGTTTCACATAGACTATGCATAAATACTAATTCTTCAATCACTTCAAACTCAGCACTGACTTCTGGAATATGTAACAACTGAACAGTACTGGTAACACCTATTCATCCATCAAAAGCCTAAGAAAACCATGAAAAATCATTCACCCTTCTTTCCAAAATGACTTGATATTACTCCCAATGTCCTTAACTTTTAGAGCAATTACTCTCACTGAAAGGCTAATAGTCTTTTTTAAAGTTTATTTTCTACGGACACATCTTTGGTTACCATAATAAAACATAATTTAATTAACTACTGTTGGTAATGGTTTTCCTTGCTTGGCTAACAAGCCATTGAAAAACTTACTTTAATTATAGCCTAATTTCCATTTTTTGTTTTTGAGAAGAAATTCTGCTGTGATAAAATTTTGTTTTAATTTACTATTTTTTTTTTCTGACCTTTAGTTTTATTCCTGTTGGTTGGGAATATTGTGAGAAGTGCCCAGTCTGGCAATGTTGACATATATTATATTCTTTTAGCACAGCCATAGTCTTCTAGCATAACAAATATAATGCTTTGCTATCTAATTTGTTAATAATAATATACATTCCACTATGCCTCTAAAGTGTTACATATAAAGTCCACTTTTCTCCTTTTCTTGTTTTAACATGATAGGTAAGTATGCACTGGTAATGAGAGAAATAAATAAGATGCCAGGGCAATATGTGTGGTGCCCACACACACACACATACTGACAAACAGTAACTATGTTATTGTGATTCGTAGCATGCAGAGCAGCAATTTGAAATATATGTGCTCTCTGCAGCAACCAACTCTGACACTGTAGTGCAACGGAAGTCATATATAATGCCCAAACAATTCAGGGAAAGGAAAAGTCACGTGCCTCTCATTTTAACTGAAAAGCTACAAATGATTAATCTTAGTGGGGAAGGAATATCAAAAAGTGAGAAAGGCCTAAAGCTAGGCCTCTTGTACCATTCAGCCAATTATGAATGTAAACAAAAAATTCTTGAATAAAATTAAAAGCACTATGTCAGTGAACATGAAACAATCTTATTGCTAATATGAAGAAAGTTTTAGTGGTCCATATGAAAGATCAAACCAGCCACAACATTCCCTTAAGCAAAAAGCCTAATCCACAGCAAGGCTCTAACCTTCTTCAGTTCTATGAAGGCTGAGAGAGGTGAGAAAACTGCAGAAGAAAAACTGGAAGCAAGTAGAGGTTGGCTCATGAGGAAAAATGCTATTGTCATAACATAAAAGTGGAAAGTGAAGCAGCAAGTGCTGACATGGAAGCTGTAGCAAGTTATCCAGAATATATATCTAAGATCATTGCTGGAGGTGGCTATACTAAACAAGGTGTTTTAAGTAGACAAAAGAGCCTTCCATTAGAAGAAGATGCCATCTAGGACTTTCACAGCTAGAGAGGGAAAATCAATGCCTTGCTTCAAAGGTCAGGCTGGGGCCACACCTGTTATTCCAGCACTTTGAGAGGCCAAGGTAAGAGAATCACTTGAGCCCAGGAGTTCAAGGCCAGCCTGGACAACAAGGCGAGACTCTTGTCTCTTTTAAAAATAAATAAATAAATAAATAAATAAATAAATAAAAACTGACTCTCTTGTTAGGGGCTAATGCAGCTGGTAACTTGACATTGAAGCTAATGCTCATTTGCCACTCAAAAAAGTCCTAGAGCTCTTAAGAATTATGCTATATCTAATCTGCTTGCTATCTACATATGGAACAACAGTCTCCTGGATGACAGCACATCTGTTTAGAGGTTGGCTTACTGAATATTTTCAGTCCACTGTCAAGACCTACTGCTAAGGAAAAAACATTCATTTCAAAATATTAGCACTCACTAACAATGGACCAGGTCATTAGAGGGCTTTGATGGATATGTTCAGAAAGAAGAATGTTACTTTCATGCCTGCCAGTACAATACAACATCTATCCTGCAGCCCATGCATCAATGAGTAATTTCAATTTTTAAGTCTTATTGTTCAAGAAATACATTTCAGCCAGGCACGACAGCTCATGCCTGTAATCCCAGCACTCTGGGACGCCAAGGCAGGAGGATCTCTTGAAGCCGGGAGTTCGAGAACACCCTGGCCAACATGGCAAAACCCCATCTCTACTAAAAATACAAAAATTAGCCAGGCGTGGTGGCACGCACCTGTAGTCCCAGATACTCGGGGGGCTGAGTCAGGAGAATCGCTTGAACCGGGAGGCAGAGGTTGCAGTAAACCAAGATCGCACCACTGCACTCCAGCCAGGCCGACAAAGAGAGACTCTGTCTCAAAAAAAAAAAAAAAAGTGATTCCTGTAGTAGATTTGGGCAAAATAAACTGAAAACCTTCTGGAAAGACTTCACCACCGTAGATGTCATTAAGAACATTCATAATTCATGAGAGGAAGTCAAAATATCAACACGAACAGGTGTTTGGAAGAAGTTGATTCCAACTCTCATGGATGACTTTGAGAGGTTCAAGACTCAAGTGGAGGAAGTTACTGCAGATGTAGTGGAAACAGCAAGAGAATTAGAAGTGGAGCCTGAAGATGTGACTGAATTGCTGCAATCTCATGATAAAACTTGCACAGATTAGGAGTTGTTCCTTACAGATGACCCAAGAAAGTGGTTTCTTAAAGATGGAAACTACTCCTGGTGAAAAGGCTGTGAAATTATTGAATGACAACAAAGGATTTAGAATACTATATAACCTTAGTTGTTAAAGCAGTGGCAGGGTTTGAGCTGACTCCAATTTTGAAAAAAAGTTCTACTTTTGGGTAAAAAATGCTATGAAACAGCATCAAGTGCTACAGAGAAATCTTTCACGAAAGAAAGAGGCAATCAATGTAGCAAACTTCATTGTTGTCTTATTGTAAGAAACTGCCAGAGGCACCCCAACCATCAGCAATCACTGCTGGGATCAGTCAGCAGCCACCAACATCCTCTATCAGCAAAAAACCTTACAATTTACTGAAAGCTCAGATGATCAGTAGCATTTTTTAGCAATAAAGTATTTTTAAATTAAAGTATGCACATTGGTTTTTTAAATATAACGCTATTGAACATTTAATAGACTGCAGTAGAATATAAACATAATATTTACATACACTGGTAAACCAAAATATTTGTGTGCCTTGCTTTATGGTGATATTCACTTTATTGTGGTAGTCTATAATGGAACCTACAGTATCTCCAAGGTATGCCTGTATTTACTTTGGTACCAATTCTAGATATACATCTGCATATACCTGGGTATTTAACTTCCTGGTCTCATGTTCCTTAAATAGTTAATAAGAAAGAGTAATTATGAACCATGCAGACCAATTAACAAGCCTAACTTCCAATATTTTCTTCACTCTGAAATAAATATTTCCAACAGTGTATTATGTCAGAAGTTCTCAGTTTTGGGGGTGCTGTATCTTAATTTTTCTGTGCTCTATTTTCAACTTCACTGACATAATACAAGCTCTATCTTCCTTACAAATTTATAAGGAATCAAATGAAATGAAATATATAAAAGTTGTCTTCTTTCTCCCATCTTCAAAAAACTTCCCCCTGCACTACATTTCCTGTTAGCCCTCTCTCCTTCAACAGCCTGGTCTGTAGAAAGAGTCCATACATGGCCTCCCTCCACTCCCTCATCTTCCATTCACTCCTTGTTCCAAGGCCCTCCCAACACCACTGAAACTTTTTTCAATGCCCTTTTTTTAATTTTTTTTTAAAGCAAATTCTGCCCCCAACTTTTCATTCTTTCAGTTGAACCACTTTTTCCAAAACACTGTGCAGATGTAAAAAATATGTAGTTAAGGCCAGGGTCCAGTGGCTCATGCCTGTATTCCCAGCACTGTGGGAGTCCAAGGCAGGAAGATCACAGGTCTGGAGTTCAAGACCAGCCTGGTCAACATGGTGAAACCTCATCTCTACTAAATATACAAAAATAAGCCAGGCATGGTGGCAGGCACCTGTAATCCCAGCTACTCAGGAGGCTGAGGCAGAAGAATTACTTGAACCCAGGAGGCAGAGGTTGCAGTGAGCCAAGATTGTGCCACTGCACTCCAGCCTGGGGCAACAAGCAAGACTGTGTGTGGAGGGTGGGGGGGGACCTGTTAATAAAAAGAAAAGAAAACAACTCAATTTCAAAATGGGCAAAGGAGGCCTGCCATGGTGGCTCCTATCTATAATCCCAGCACTTTCAGAGGCCAAGGCGGGTGGATCACCTGAGGTCAGGAGTTCAAGACCAGCCTGGCCAACATGGCAAAATCCCGTCTCTACTAAGAACACAAAAATTATCCAGGCATGGTGGTGCACGCCTGTAGTCTCAGCTACTCAGGAGGCTGAGGCAGGACAATCGCCTGAACCCAGAAAGTGGAGGTTGCAGTGAGCCGAGATCATGCCACTGCACTCCAGCCTAGGTGACAAGAGTAAGACTCTGTCTCCAAAAAACAAACAAAAATGGGCAAAGGAGCCAGGCGTGGTGGTGCACACATAGAGTCCCAGCTACTCAGAGGCTGAAGTAGGAGGATCACTTGAGCTAGAGGATCACTTGACCCCAGGAGTTCAAGGCTGCAGTGAGCTAGAACTGTGCCACTGCAATCCAGCCTGTGTGACAGAGTAAGACTCCAAAAAAGACAGGGGCAAAGACATGACGAGAGAAAAAATAAGTATAAAAGTAAAGACACAGAGAGAGAGACTTCAAAAAGGAAGACAGGGCAGGGCACAGTGGCCCGTGCCTGTAATCCCAGCACTTTGGGAGGCTGTAATGGGAGGATCACTTGAGCCCATGGGTTTGAGACCAGCCTAGGCAACACAGCGAGACCCCAGTATCTACAAAAACTAGCTGGGAATGGCTGGGCATGGTGGCTCACACCTGTAATCCTAGCACTTTGGCAGGCCGAGGCAAGCGGATTGCCTGAGCTCAGGAATTTGAGACCAGCTGGGTAACAAGGTGAAACCCCATCTCTACTAAAATATAAAAACTTAGCCAGGGGTGGCAGCATGCGCCTGTAGTCCCAGCTACTTGGGAGGCTGAGGCAGGAGAATCACTTGAACCCAGGAGGCAGAAGTTGCAGTGAGCTGAGATCACACCACTACACCACTTCCCTCCAGGCTGGGCAACACAGCGAGACTCCATCTCAAAAAAAAAAAACAAAACTAAGCTGGGCACAGTGGCTCACACCTATAATCCCATCACTTTGGGACGCCGAGGCAGGCAGATCACCTGAGGTCAGGAGTTCAAGCCCAACCTGACCACTATGATGAAACCCCACCTCTACTAAAAACACAAAAATTAGCTGAGCATGGGGGCATACGACTATAAACCCAGCTACTCGAGAGGCGGAGACAGGAGAATCACTTGAACCCGGGAGGCAGAGGTTGCAGTGAGCCGAGATCACACCATTGCACTCCAGCCTGGGCAACAAGAGTGAAACTCTGTCTCAAAAAAAAAAAAAAAAAAAAAAACTAGCCGGGCACAGTATTGTGCACCTGTATTCCCAGCTACTTGGGAGGCTGAGATGGGAGGGTCATTTGGGCCCAGAAATTCGAAGCTGCAGTCAACTATGATTGTGCCACCACACTCCTGCCTAAGTAACAGAATGAGATATTGTAATTTAAAAAATAAAAGGATAGGTAGGATTTACAGACTGGAAAATGGGAAAAAGATGAGAGTGGAAAAAGGAAGGAGGGGTAGCAAGAATGGCGGGCAGGGAGACAGAAAGGTAAAATTCAGCCATGTTCAAAAGGGAACAAATAAAAGCACTGAAAGGTAAGACAGACCTAGTATATTTATGACTTGAATCCCAAGCTAAGAAACTGGAACATAATTTAGCAGAGAGACTCCAAAAGTTTTACAGCAAAAAGTATTAGAATCATTTATATACTGGGAAAAAAATAGCCTCCTCATTTTAATAATCCAGATTGGGAAATCAGATCTAAAACAGATGTTCAATGGACATCCCATTTCTTTTGTAAAAGCAACTTGAAAGGTCAGACATCAAGTTTTGTTCTGTTTTTAATTCACAATGAAAATCTGACTACTCATTTATTCAACAAATATTTGAGTACCAGCTATGTGCTAGGCACTGTTCTAAACACACCAATAACATTTATTTAGTGGTACTGATTCTGTACTCTAGAACAATGGCTCTTAACTGGGGAGAGGGAGCAATTTTTGCTGCCCAAGGGACATCTGGCAATGTCTAAAGACATTTTTGGTTGTCACAGAGGCAGGGAGGAGGGGAGGGGCATGGGTGTGCTACTATATCTAGTGGGTGGAGGCCAGAAATGCTGCTTAACATCCTACACACAGGACATACTGCCCGTGACAAGGAATTAGCTAGCCCAAGATGTCAATAGTGCCAAAGTTGAATAAACCTGTTCAAGAGCAACACATTTCTATTCCCTCTTCCATAGTAACTGTTAATAAACATTAGTTCCATTTTCTACCATTTCTGTTCTACAATAGAGGCTTTAAAATATCTTAAGAAATATAACACCATTTTAATAATTTGGCAAGTAGAAGTAATGATACCATGAATCCTGAGATTTCACTTTCAAAAATGTATAAGCTACATTTATTTTACAATATAACTTTTAGGAACAAAGTTGTCTTCTCCTTCTGACACTGTTCTCAAAAACTGTGCTAAAAGCTTTGAGTGATGTTTGATTACTCCTTTTATTTTGGGGTCCTTATAGCTGTTAATTACCACATTCTGCCAGTTCTTTCCATGTGAATGCCTCACATTTCAATGGATCTTTTTCTATTACCAATGTATTATCTGAAACATTTTACTAACTGGTTTTTCTGAAGCTCAATGTCCATGTCTCCTTCCCTCCCAAGCTATCCCTACCCATTAATACTGTACTTTTCACCTGCTCAAAAGTCCATATGGTTGCCTGTAACATACCAAATAAGAACCAAATTCCTAAAGCTTGACATTCAAATCCTTTTTTCAACTAGCTACAATCCACTTTTCCAACTCTTTTTTCCACTGCTCTCCCTCAGGAGTAGCCTTTTTTAGCAAAATGACTTATTCTGAGATACACAAACAACCTTTCCAGATCAGAGACATCAAAAGCCATTCAGGCTTCACTGAGACAAAAGATATGCATTCAACTCAGAATAACAGTAAGGAATCAACTTATAGGGAAACCAGATCTAGCCATGTTCTTTAAATATGAGAGATAACCCCGTTGGCTCATGCCACTGTCCTTATTTATAACAGCCCCTATTTGCCTTTCTACTTCTCTGAACTCATTATCCTTCAAATCTACAATCTTTTCAAAAACCCAAACACAGAGTCACCTCAGTCACCACTACCTGCCCTTCTCCTACCCCACCCAATGCCTGTGGCTTTCAGGTCATTTATTTTGCAATAAACTTGTTATCTCAATTTTACTGGTTCTCTTTTAGACTCACACAGCTGAGATTATGATAGATTCATTAGTAAGCTGAATGGGGAAGAAAAGGATATTTACATTCCTAGGCCAATTTTCAATGCTTTTTGGAAGATTCTGTTAAATTCACAATTTCCAGAACTGGCAAGGAATAGGTAAATATATACACTCATATATTACTGTTAAGAGTATAAATTGGTATAATTATCCTACAGTGATATCTGCCAACATTGAAAGTCCTTAAAATCTGTATACCCTTTGGCCTAGGAATTCAACTTGAAAATTTATCATAAGTAAATTATAAAATGTACAAAGGTTTAACTATAAAGACACGCATCTCTGCATTGTTTCTAACTCTAAAAGATTGAGGGGGAGGGGAAAATCCCTTGTCCAATAAAAAAAGACTATTCCATGAATCATTTATTTAAGTAATGTAATACTCTGCAACTACTAAAATCCTATAGTATCATGGTTATTGACATGTAAGTCTTTTAATGGCTTTCTTTCCTAAGCTAAAAAAATACAAACATGATTCCACATAATGTATTTCACATATTTGTATACATTTTTCTACTTTTCTATATTTTCTACACATCTATATATGATTTGTGTTTGTGTGTTTGTGTGTGTGTATGCATGCATGTAAATAAAATATACCTCTAAGTCTTTGTAACCTTAAGACGGTGGGGCAAAATATTTTTATTTTCTGTTGTTGATTATTTAAAATTTAGCTATATTAAATGTTTTCTGATTTAGTAAACATACATAAGGCCTATTTATAGTTGAATGGCAGTCTTACAAAACCTAAGCAACCTTGGTTTACTCTATCTGTGGGAAAAGCATTTTTAGTAGAATGCTTGCGCATCTTCCTACATTCCTGTAATCAAACAGTATTTATCATCACCTATGTTGGTGACTCTCACTTTGACATAGGCTGAACCAGAAATCCTAGGAAAAACTGATGACAGAAAGCTAAGGGGAAGGATAGGAAGCCGGGAAACCCTGGGAAAGGAGGGATTATATTACACATGTTACGGGAACTAGTTTGTATGTGCGGGGCACAGAGCATACACTTAGATAAGAAGGGGGTCATAAAACCAGAAAGGCAATAAATAGAATGTTATGAGCATGAACTCTAGATGCAAACTGTTCAGGTTCAATCCCACCTCTGCTTCTTACTACATTTATTACCTTAAGCAAGTCACTTAACTTCTCCCTGCCGTTTCTGCCACATCTGTATAACGGGGATAACAGACCCTACCTTAGAGGGTTGTCACGCTAATGAATTCTGAGAATAGTCCCTGGTACTACAGTTAAGTGCTCATTAGTTGTCCACACTCATCATCGTCATTACTCCCATTACTATGAAGTGAAGAGTTGTGCTGCTAGGACGGGAGCAGCAACTTTTCAACACCAATCGCTTTTTTAGATGGCCTCCTTTCTAGCCTTGTTAGTTGCCCAAATTCTGAAAAAAACAAGAACTAAGACTCTAGAAGGAGATCCGAGAGGCAGACGTGTGTCTCTGTGTGTGTTTGTGTGTGTGTGTAGGTGCGTGTGCATGTAGACGAAGGAGGAATCAGGAGTAATGCCAAGAATGAGAATCAAATCTGTATAAGCAGTTCAGAAAAGGGGCATCATGAGTCGCTCTTCTCAGTGCTGCCCCAAGGGTTCCACAGTTTGCTCCTTCCATCATTCACTTGGATAAAACCTTTCAATGTCTCTCCATGGCCTTCAGAGTTAAATCAAAACTATTCCTTGGAATGACTTAAAACCCATACTATCTCTAAAGCCTCATCTCTTGACTCTCTCGCACCAAGCTCACTGAGCTTCCAGCCCTACCAAATTTCTTCAGTAACAAACTCTCACATCTCAGAGCCTTTGCAAATGCTGCTCCCTCTGCCTGAAAAGTAACCTCTACCTCCTCCAATAGCAAACTGCTACTCAACCTTCAAAACACAGCTCAAGGATAACTCCAGAGCTCTTTCCTGATTTCAAGCTTAATGCCTCTGCTATATTATCCCCCATGTGCATAACACCACCACTACCACCACCACCACCACCACCACCATCACCACTACCACTACCACCACCACCACCACCATCACCACTAAAACCACGACCACCACCACCACCACCACCACCACTAAAACCACGACCACCACCACCACCACCACTACCACCACCACCACCACCACCACCACCACCACTACCACCACCACCACTACCACCACCACCACCACCATCACCACTACCACCACCACCACTACCACCACCACCAGCACCACCACCATCACCACTACCACCACCACCACTACCACCACTACCACCACCACCACTACCACCACCACCACCACCACCATCACCACCACCACCACCACCACCATCATCACCACCACATCACAATCACCACCACCACCACTACCACCACCATCACCACCACCACCATCACCATCACCACCACCACCACCATCACCACCACCACCATCACCATCACCACCACCACCACCACCACCACCATCACCACCATCACCACTACCACCACCACCACCACCATCACCACCACCACCACCATCAACACCACACTGCACTGATCCACCACTAGCCAATGACTTCTTTAGAGATCTTGTCTTTGGGTATTTCCAGATACTGTCCTATACAGTAACAGATACATTAAAAATAATAATTTTAAAAATTTATTAATCACAGCTGGAAAGTACAGTGAACCTACTGACTATACTGGAAACTGGTAAAGAAAGGTAAACAAGCAAACATTTATTCTGCCTTTCTCATATGAACAGTTACACTGGGCAACCAAGTAAGAGGTGATGGAAACTTTTCTTTTTATAAAACAGTATTCCAGATAATAAAATGAAGGAGTAACACAACTAGAACATTATCATTTTACAACCCTTAATGAATCAACGGATCTAGGCATTAGTCACCAACAGTTGCTAGTGTCACAAAAAGAGACAATCACATTTTGTGCCTCCTGATGAAAGAATGCACCACAACTACAAAGCAGTCTTGTAAAATAAGACTGAACCTGACTCTGACCAAGCCTCTGGTTCCAACTACTCATTTGGAAATACAGAAAATAGAGAAATATCAGGGATAAACCTGGTATTGAATCTCAGGAATCAGCAAAATCCTGACTACGGGAACTCTACAGGGCAAATAACCCATTTCTTTAACAAATAAATTGCGAGAATAAAAAGGAAGGTGGTAACCTACAGATTAAGAGACTTAATCGCAATATGTAAGCCTTATTCAAATACTTTTAAAAACTGAGACATGTTTACCTGAACATAGAATATTTGATGATATTATGGATTTAACTGTCAATTTTTTTTTGAGTATGATGGTGGTATTAGGTTTTTCTTAAGCCTTCACTTTTTAGAACTACATTCTCTAATATTTATAAATGATATCACATTATGCCTGAGGCCAGGTGCAGTGGCTCATGCCTGTAATCCCAGCACTTTGGGAGGCTGAGGCGGGTGAACCACCTGAGGTCGGGAGTTCAAGACCAGCCTGGCCAACACAGTGAAACCCCGACTCTACTAAAAATACAAAAATTAGCCTGGCGTGGTAGCACTCGCCTATAATCCCAGCTACTTGGGAGGCTGAGGGAGGAGAAGTGCTTGAACCTGAGAGGTGAGGTTGCAGTGAGCTGAGATCACACCACTGCACCCAGCCCGGGCGACAGAATGAGACTCCATCTCAAAAAAAAATTAATAAAAATAAAAATAAATAAAAGCACAGACCCTACAGAAAAGACTGCCTGGGTTCAAATCCTGTGTCCATGACTCACTCTGAGCCTTAGCTTCCTCAGCTGTTAAAAAAGAAAAAAAAAAGGACAATAATAGTCTTTACTTCAGAGGACTTTTGTAAGAATTAAGTGAGTTAAGATGGTTATAACATATAGTTCTCCCAAAACATGCTTCATAGAAGTTTTCATTATCATCCCCCTTCCCACTTTACAGAAAGAAACACGGACCTGGAGAGGTGAAAAGTGACTTGCTTAATGACTTGAAAACCATCTTCCAGGAACTGTGCTTAGCACTGGTGGCAAAAACTGGCTATTTACCAAAGCGTTTCCTTTTCCTCCTGGCATATGGCTAAACTACATTTCCCAGCTTCCCTTTCACATGACTGGTCTGGACAATGAAATGTGGGCAAAAGTGAAAGATGCCTCTTTACTACTCTCAGGCCTTGTCCCCAAACCTCCCATGCAATCCCTCACCGCTTCTCACCCTCATTTGCCAGGGGGACATCAATGCCTAGGGCAACGGAGAAAAGATTAGCCTGAGTCCCAGTATGACTTAACTGTTACTGTGTTACTCTTGAAATTTCGGCCACCATAAAGTCAGTAAGACTGTATTTTTTATGGACTCATCACAACAATCATTATTCCTATTCAACAATTGGGGAAACTGAAGTATAAAGAAGTCATGGTCAATTATTCAATGGTAGATCCAGAACTTGAACCAGCACTGGCTTAACACAGAGCTCAGGATCTTAAGTGACTTCCAAGATCATAAGACCAGTAAGGGCACCAAGATTTCTAACTTAGAGTAGATACATTTTATATAGAATTTGGTTAAGTATTCCTTAAAATATCACTTTAATATGCCACAAGAATAACCACAGAATAGTGTTACTTTAAAGTAAAAAGATATAAATAGAAGCCCAAAATGTTAAGTGGGGTTTTACAATCAAGAAGACACACCAGAATAAGATATTTTTAAAATACCATGTACGTTAAAGAGATCATACTTCCTTACCCTAATAAATAGCCATGTAGTACAAGTTTTAACTTTTTAATTAAAAAAATTATTAAAATATTAAATATACAACTTCTATTTGGTTTTACCTGAGCCATTCCTTTATACTGACAGTTACATAATGTGATTTCAGTTATATATGTAGTTATTGGTAATTTTTCAAAAATAGAATATAATGAAAACTTCATTTGAATCATTACTGAACTGCACCTACATTAATCATGATATACCTATGAAAAGATGTATAACATATACTAGTATGCCAAAAAAAAGTAAGGCACAAAACAGTATTTATAGTATAATTCCATTTGTTTTTTTGTTGTTGTTGTTTTTTTTGAGACGGAGTCTCGTTCTGTGGCCCAGGCTGGAGTGCAGTGGTGCCATCTCGGCTCGCTGCAAGCTCTGCCTCCCGGGTTCATGCCATTCTCCTGCCTCAGCCTCCCAAGTAGCTGGGACTACAGGCGCCCACCACCATGCCCGGCTAATTTTTTGTATTTTTTAGTAGAGATGGGGTTTCACCGTGTTAGCCAGGATGGTCTCGATCTCCTGATCTCACGATCCACCCGCCTCGGCCTCCCAAAGTGCTGGGATTACAGGTGTGAGCCACCATGCCCGGCCTAATTTCATTTGTTTTCAAAGAACATATATGCCTATGTCTGTATTTTTTTTCTACGTACAAACATGTCTTATCTACAAACCAAAAACATCTGGAAAAATATACAAAAAAAGTTTCCAGTGATAACCTCTGGGGAGTAAAACTGAACTTGTGATGTATACCTTTTGTTAGAATTTGAATTTATGAAAGGCACATATACCTTTAGAATAAAAAATACTTTAAAATAAAGCTCTATCATTTACAGTAATGCAAAGCGATCCAACTCTCAAACTCCCACATAATCATGTTATGTAGTGAAGCTTTCTAGGCTGGGGGAAGAAATGTAACCCCTTATAATGAATATATAAATATATATATAATTTCATCAATTTCATTATGGGTATACATTTATACATCTATTTACAAGTCTGTTTAAATACACATATCCACACCTGCTAAATAAGTATGTTCTGGCCAGGCGCTGTGGATCACGCCTGTAATCCCAACACTTTGGAAGGCCAAGGTGGGTGGATCACCTGAGGTCAGGAGTTCAAGACCAGCCTGGTCGACATGGTGAAACCCTGTCTCTACTAAAAATACAAAAATTAGCCGGGCATGGTGGTGTGTGCCAGTAGTCCCAGCTACTCGGGAGGCTGAGGCAGGAGAATCGCTTGAACCCGGGAGGCCGAGGTTGCAGTCAGCCGAGATTGTGTCACCGCACTCCAGCCTGGGCGACAGAGCGAGACTCTGTCTCAAAAAAACAGAAACAAACGAAAAAAGTATCTAATCAGGAGATTTTGGTAAGTTTTCCAAGCACACCCCTTCTTGTGAAACTGAGTTCTAACCTGAAGAATACCTGGGATTACATGGCGAAAAAACACAATATATTAAAATTTTAAAACAGTTCTTATTTTAGGCTCAAATTTTATGTTTTTGGGACTACTTAGACTTTTTTTTTTTTTCCCTGAGATGAAGTTTTGCTCCTGTTGCTCAGGCTGTAATGCGATGGCGTGAGCTGGGTTACTGCAATCTCTGCCTCCCGGGTTCAAGCGATTCTCCTGCCTCAGCCTCCCAAGTAGCTGGGATTGCAGACATGCACCACCATGCACAGCTAATTTTGTATTTTTAGTAGACACAGGGTTTCTCCGTGTTGGTCATACTGGTCTGAAACTCCCAACCTCAGGTTATCCGCCTACCTCGGACTCCCAAAGTGCTGGGATTACAGGCATGAGCCACCACGCCCAAACAACTTTTTGTATTTTTAGTAGAGACGGGGTTTCACTGTGTTAGCCAGGATAGTCTCGATATCCTGGCCTCGTGATCTGCCCACCTCAGCCTCCCAAAGTGCTGGGATTATAGGCATGAGCCACTGCGCCCGGCCAAGTGTCACTCTTAATTTTTTAAAATTAAAAGAAATTAAATTTCTCAATTCTGGAGGCTGGAAGTCCCAGCTACTCGGGAGGCCAAGGTAGGAGAATCACTTGAACCTGGGAGGCCGAGGCTGCAGTGAGCCGAGATCGTGCAGCCTGGTGACAGAGTGAGACTGCATCTCAAAAAAAAAAAAAAATAGTGTCACTTATGTCACTCAGTTTGTGGTATTTTGTTACGGTAACTCTAGCAAACTAATAGGAGAGGACTCTGGTTTACACTATTTAAATTTTCTAATTATTTACTTTTTTTTTTTAAATGCCTGGTGGAGTGCAGTGGCACAATCACAGCTTACTGCAGCCTCGAACTCTTGGCCTCAAGCAATCCTCCCAAGTAGCTGGGACTACAGGCATGCACCACCATACCTGGCTAATTTTTATTTTTTGTAGACATGATGTTTCACTATATTACTCAAGCTGGTCTTAAACTCTTAAACTCAAGTGATCCTCCAGCCTTGGACTCCCAAAGTGCTGGGATTACAGGTGTGAGCCACCATGCTCAGCCTACATGAACTTTTTTTAAACTAGCAGGGGTTATGTGAATAGTGGGATTACAGATATTTTCTTCATTATGCTGGTCCATATTTAAATCCTCTCCCCCTCACAAAAAAGGTAAAAATATACAGCCATAAAAAAGAATGGAATCATGTCCTTCGCAGCAACATGGATGGAGCTGGAGGCTACATTCTTTTTCATCCTTTGTCCTAAAAGAAGTAACTCAGAACCAGAAAATCAAATACCACATGGTCTCATTTCTAAGTGGGAGCTAAACAATGAGTACATGTGAACATAAAGATGGAAGTAATAGACTAGAGATTCCAAAAGAGAAGGTAGAAGAGGAGGTACACAGGTTGAAAACTACCTATTGGGTACTAGGATCACTTTGGATGATGGCTGCGCTAGCAGGCCAAACCTCGGCATTACATAATCTAGCCATGTAACGAACCTGCATGTGTACCCCCGAATCTAAAATAAAATATTTTTTAAAAAAATGGTAAAGAGAAAAAGTATTAAATGACATAACTAAATATTCTAGACATCATTCTACCATTTGTTGTCCAAGAAAAACCGCATTTTACCTTACAGTTTATCATTTGAAATAAAATATTATGTTAAGATATTTTAAATTTTTACCAGTTCCACAAAGGAACTGGGAAGTAGAAACTGAAGAACACTTTGTTAAGTCCTTGGGGATTAAAGAAGTAATAGCTACGAAGTATACAACAGTGTGATGAGTGAATCCTTCTCATATTGGGGTTAAAATGGTCATTATAGCTACTGCGTACCACAAATCCAATCAAGTTAGGTATTTTGTACACATTATCATTTAATTCTCATTACAACCCATCACAATAGATGTTAATTAGTATGTCCCCTATTTTTCGGATAAGGAAATTCAAGATCAAAGAGATTAAATGGCCAAGGTCATACAACTAAGAAGTGAAAGTGCTGAGACTCAAACCTAAGTTCATGTCTTAAATCCCATGCTGTTTGATATTAAGGACCACTTGTGTTTAACAAATATTAAACACCTGCTACACACACACACTGTGCCAGATGTATAAGATAGAGCCATGACCCAAGAAACACAGTCACTATTCTCAAAAAACTTAGAATCTCTGCCAGGAGCAGCGGCTCACGCCTGTAATCCCAGCACTTTGGGAGGCTGAGGCAGATGGATCACGAGGTCAGGAGTTCAAGACCAGCCTGGCTAAGATGGTGAAACCCCATCTCTACTAAAACTACAAAAATTAGCCAGGCGTGGTGGCAGGCGCCTGTAATCCCAGCTACTTGGGAGGCTGAGGCAGAGAACTGCTTGAACCAGGGAGGCGGAGGCTGCAGTGAGCCAAGATCGCACCACTGCACTCCAGCCTGGGCGACAGAGTGAGATTGTCTCCAAAAAAAAAAAAAAAAAAGCCTTAGAATCTCGTCTTTAACATTCTGTTGCATGTATGTTTTTCCTAGGTTTTTTGTTGTTGTTTGTTTTTTGTTTGCTTTTTGTTTTTGAGACAGAGTCTCGCTCTGTCACCCAGGCTGAAGTGCACTGACTGGTGCCATCTCAGCTCACTGCAACCTCCGCCTCCGGGTGCAAGCCATTCTCCCGCCTCAGCCTCCCGAGTAGCTGAGATTATGGTGCCTGCCACCACGCCTAGCTAATTTTTGTATTTTTAGTAGAGACAGGGTTTTGCCATGTTGAACAGGCTGGTCTCGAACTCCTGACCTTAGGTAATCTGCCTGCCTCGGCCTCCCAAAGCAATGAGATTACAGACATGAGCCACCGCGTGCCCGGCCTTTTTTCTTTGACACAGAGTCTCTGGCACACAGGCTGGAGTGCAGTGGCACAGCTCACTGCAACCTCTGCCTCCCAGGTTCAAGCAATTCTCCTACCTCAGCCTCCTGAGTAGCTGGGATTACAGGCACACACCACCACACCGGGCTAATTTTTGTATTTTTAGTTGATAACGGGGTTTCACTATATTCACCAAGCTGGTCTCGGCCTCAGCCTCCCAAAGTGCTGGGATTACAGGCGTGAGCCACTATGTCCGTTCTTGTTTTTCCTGTCTTTGTAACTAGACTTTAAAGCTCCTCAAAAGAGCTGGAGTATAAATGAAAATACAAAGAGCTTTGAGTCTCAGATCTGGAAAAAGTCTAGCTTTATCATATACATACATAAATTTAAATGCTGGATTCCTCACCAGCAAAAGGGTCTTGGATTAAGTGGTATAAAGTAGTCCTGTGCTTATCCATAGGAAATACATTTCAACCCCATACCCCACCCCTGCCTGGCTCCCATAAATGCCTGAAACCACGGATGCTACAAAGCCCTATATACACTATGTTTTATATTTTTCTTTGCCTCCAATGAATTCCCTCTCTTGGCAATGCCTTATAAGTTACCATGCAAAAAAATATAAATGTATCTCATTTATCTGTTCTCCCCTACCCCCCACAACGCTATCTACCTCTCACAGGACTAAGCATTGGAAAGGCCTTAGTGCAGCCACCACCTAACCATAGAAATGATCCAAACTCACATACTACTACTTCTTTATTCTTCAGTAAAGTTCTCCAAACTAAAATGAAATATGTAGTTTGAAAATATGTAGTAAAAATACAGCTTTTTAAATATATCCTCTGTGCTATTTCATAGCCACTTCACAGTGACCCTACTTCTCCATTTATAACTCACCCAGTTAGTTATTAGTAAACAACTCTTAATCAAAATTAAAAATGAAGGGCTATGGAACTGTTCTCATATCCCATTAAGTGTCTTAAAGGCACTGTGCTCAGCATTCCACATGCATTATCTTATTGAAAGCGCAGTGTTTAATGAACTTGCCTAAAGCCACATCAGAACCACCAGAAAGCACAATTTCATTGTATTTTGTGTGAATGCCCTCCCCAGCACAAGAACGGAGCTGTACAATGAAGTGGTGTGGGTCACACAGCTAATTAAGTAATGGAGTTAAGGCTCAAAAACTTCAGTGTCTGATGAGAAAGCTCACACTCAAAACCTCCAAAAAACACTGCTTTGCATCACTGAAATTAAAGAATAAGAATACAATATAAATAGAATAAAATGAGAATTCCTTGTTATATAATAAGCCAGTTTATCAGCTTTCTTTGGCGAAGGAAGAAAGGGCAACATAGTGATATCTTGTCTCTAGTAGAAATTTAAACATTAGCCGGGTGTGGTGGTATGCACTTGTAGTCCCAGCTACTGTGGAGGCTGAGTAGAGGGAGGATCACTTGAGCCAGGGAGGCTGAGGCTGCAAGGAGCCATGATTGCATCACTGCACTCCAGCCTGGGTGACAGAGTGAGATCCTACCTCAAAAAATAAATAAATAAATAAATAAATAAATAAATAAATAAATAAATAAATATAAGAATAAAAATTGCCTCTGGCAAAACTGCACATATAGAGGCACAGTGTGTTTTTTTCCACCACCCCAATGCTACCTCTATAACTCACACATGATAGTTTTATAAAGATAACTACCTGGCATTCAGGTTAAAATCGCAACAGCACCCAGAATAGGAAAAACTATAAATTATGCATTGGACTCTGCAATCACCAGCCCCTACTTGTAAATTTCAATGGAGATTCACTTTATTTCAAAATTAGAAAACTGATCTCAGAGTTTAAAACCTCATTTACAGCTTCAAAATATTTAGAATCTAGAATTATATAACAAATACTTATTTTCTTAGCATGCAAAAATTATTTACAAATCATTTAAAAAGGATGATCAACTTAACAGAAAAATGGGCAATGACAAATAGACTATTAGTTACCTAACCAATAGCCACTCCCCACTCACAACCTGTTCCTTACAGAGTTCACCTCCCACTATCATGGCTGAAAGGAACATCCTTGCTCTCTCACCCTCACTTGTACCTAGGACATGGATGGATACCAGTCACGGTTGATGGGATTTAAGAAAAAAATCTGTTGGCCGAGCGCAGTGGCTCATGCCTGTAATCCCAACACTTTCGGAGGCTGAAGCAGGCAGATCACCTGCCTGTTCCAATACGGAGAAACCCTGTCTCTACTAAAAAAACAAAATTAGCCGGGCATGGTGGTGCACAACTGTAATCCCAGCTACTCGGGAGGTTGAGGCAGGAGAATCGCTTGAACCCGGGAGGCAGAGGATGCGGTGCAGTGAGCCGAGATCGTGCCATTGCACTCCAGCCTGGGCAACAAGAAGCAAAACTCCGTCTCAAAAAAAGAAAAAAAAAATCTGCTAAGGGCTTCCAGGAAAGGTTTTTAATTCCAAATAAAATAGATGTGCATGAACAAATATACTTCATCTTTACTGGTCATTGAACCTGGTGTGAACTACGAATCCTCTTTTTCTCACATGCCACATCCCTCAACAAATCTTTTGGGCTCTGCCTCAACATATGCAGAATTACTTCAACATTTCTCTGATGCCTATCATGCTTCAAATCATCTGTCACCCTGCTAATATTATCTTAACTAACATGCCTGCTTCTTCCTTGATCTCCTTCATTCTAGTCTCAACACAGCAGCCAGCATGAGAGTTTGAGAGTCTTGGTCAGATAAAGCCAGTCCTCCACTCAAAAGCCCCCAAAGGACTCTCATCTAATCCAGAGTAAAAGTCAAAAGATCTCACAATGGTCTACAAGGCCCTGCACAATCTGACTCCCCATGCTACTTCTCTTATGATGTTTTCTCCATAACTCAGCTCCTGCCACATTAGCCCTTTCAGTTCTATGAACATGCTAAGCACATTCCTGCCTTGGGGCTTTTGCACTCACTGTTCCCTGCATCAGCAATACTCTTTCCCCAAATGATTGCCTTTGCATTCTTATTTCCTTTAAGATTCTATTCAAACATCAGCTCACTGAGGCCTTCTCTGATGGCCCCACTTAAAATAATCCAACCCAGCCCTTCCCGTCCCTTCCATGGCTTTATTTTTTTCCATAAAACTTAACGTCTTCTGACAACCTATAAATTCTACCTATTTGTTTGACTGTCTTCTCCCTTATCCCCACTAAAATATCAGCTCCGTGAAGGAAGGCAATGAACTTTGTTTTGCTCACTGCTGTATTTCCTGTGCTTATAGAATATTGCCTAATACATTGTAGGTGCTAAATGATTATTTAAGTGAATTAATTTAGCAACTATCAACAACAAGCTGAGTATAAAACAGCAGGAAAATGAAAACCATCTAGGTCCGTGACAATTTAATTGAGCCATTGAATTACACCTGGACTTCTAGTCATGTGAGGTAAATTTTATTTATAGTTTAAGCCATTTTTAATTAAAATTTTTGTTATTTGAAGCTGCAAAGTACCCAAAATAGGGTACTGGTAGGCAGTTTGCAAAAAAAAATGTGACAAATATCATCAATTTAACTCAATCATAAGGCATGCAAATTAAAATAACCATGAAATAATGTCACTCAAGAAAAAATAAGTTTGGTACATGTATAATCCCACTTAATATGACTCACTACATTAGTAGCATTAAAAAAATTTTGAGGGTTTTTGTTTGTTGAGACAGGGTCTTGCTCTGTCGCACTGGCTGGAGTGCAGTGGCGCAACCATGGCTCACTGCAATCTCAACCTTTTGGGCTCAAGTAATCCTCCCATCTTGCCTCCCGAGTAGCTGGGACTATAGGCACGTGGCCGCACACCTGGCTTTTTTTTTCCTCCCCCCAGTTAGAGACAGTGTCTCACTATGCTGCCCAGCAGACTAGTCTCGAACTCCTGTGCTCAAGTGATCCTCCTGTCTTGGCCTCCCAAAGTACTGGAATTACAGGCATGAGCCACAGTGCCTAACCATTTTTAAGTTTTGTTTTGTTTTGTTTTGTTTTTGAGACAGAGTCTCCCTCTGTCACCCAGGCTGGAGTGCAATGGCACCATCTCTGCTCACTGCAACCTCCACCTCCCGGGTTCAAGCAATTCTCCCTGCCTCAGTCTCCCAAGTAGCTGGGATAACAGGCATACGCCACCACGAATTTTTGTATTTTTAGTAGAGATGGGGTTTCACCATGTTGGCCAGACTGGTCTCGGCCTCCCGACCTCAGGTGATCAGCCCGCCTCAGCCTCCCAAAGTGCCAGGATTACAGGTGTGAGCCACCACGTCCAGCCCATTAACTTTCAAGTATTAAAATAAAGTCATACAGGCCAGGTGCAGTGGCTCACACCTGTAATCCCAGCACTTTGAGAGGCCAAGGCAAGTGGATCAGTTGAGGTCAGGAGTTAAAGACCAGCCTGGCCAACATGGAGAAGCCCCATATCTACTAAAAATACAAAAATTTGCCAAGCATGGTGGTAGGCGCGTGTAGTCCCAGCTACTTGGAAGGCTGAGGTAGGAGAATAGCTTGAACCTAGGAAGCGGAGGTTGCAGTGAACCAAGATCGCACCACTGCACTCAAGCCTGGGCAACAGAGCAAGACTGTCTCAAAAAAATAAATAAAGAAAGAAACAAAGCAGTAAGGAGTACAATACAGTGCATAACTGTTCTCAACCTTGACAATGTCAATGTTAGAAATGACAGATGTAAGCACATAAAGGGAAAAGGAAAGGTAAAAAGAAGAGTTGCAGCTGGGCATGGTGGCTCACACCTATAATCCCAGCACTCTGGGAGGCTGAGGCAGGTGGATCGCCTGAGGTTGGGAGTTCAAGACCAGCCTGACCAACACAGTAAAACCTCATCTCTACTAAAAATACAAAATTAGCCGGGCATGGTGGCGCCTGCCTGTAATCCTAGCTACTCGGGAGGCTGAGACAGAAGAATCACTTGAACCCAGGAGGCAGAGGTTCAAGCAAGCAGAGATTGCACCATTGCACTCCAGCCTGGGCAACAAGAACGAAACTCACAGAGCTGTGCCATCTTCAGGCTCCAACCTCCAGCTCACCACAGGGGACTCCTCCTTCATCAGCCTGGCTTGGAGCAGCTGGGCAGACAATGCCAGAAAAACCTACAATAGGATGCAGAAAGTGGCAGTGTTAGAGCCTCACCCTGTCATGCTGCCCACTGGGTGGCTGGGGCCAGTTTCAGCGAAGGCACTCACACCCACCCTCCAAAGTCCAGCCTCTCCTCCTAGACCAAGCTGGCCTCCTGACCTGGGGTGGGGACTGGAGACACCACAGTGTCCGAGGCTAGTTGGGGAGCAAGAACAGCAGAAACTCAGACCCAGCCAGTCCTCCCCACCCAAGTACCAGTTCCCATTCCTGACTCCTCCACCCACAGGACCCTGAGCCCCCATGGTGCCCACTACTCCATGCCTGGGGCTCCCAGATGGTCCCCACAACACAGAGCAAGAGGGCAAGGGCCGGGTAACCATGGTGGGTGTGAGGGCCCTGCGGTGGTCAGAGGATTGCCACAAAAACTCTGTGCACCCTCCGCGTTCCAACACGAGCAGAAGTTCCCCTTTCCTCCATGGACAATGCAACATTTCACAGCTCCCCTAAAGCACCCCCGACTGCCTGCCAGTTGGCATTGTTGCTGACATTGTAGCTCATGATAGCTCACCCAACCCGCCCCCTGCATCGGCCAGTGTAGCAGCTAATAATGCCCCTAATTCCCCACCACCTTCCGCTGGCAGTGCACGACGGCACACACAACCTGCCTCCAACCCCCCACCACCTTAGGCAGTGTAGACTCTGATAGCGCAGCAAACCTGCCCCACTGCCAGCAATTCAACACCTGATAGTGCCACCCACCAGCCCCCCACGGCAGGGAGTGCAGCTCCAAAAGCACACCAAACCCGCTCCCCCACCACCCCGCAAGCAGGCAGTGCAGCCGCAGAGAGCACACCTACCCTGCCACCTTTCTACTACTCTAACAGAGATGCAGTCTCCGTCACCACTACCAACCGTAGCCAGGCGAGCCGCGGTGGCCAAGGCTGCAGCCTCCAGCGTTGGGCACAGTCCCCACCTTCTCCTAGATCTCTAGCCGGTCAAGAGCAGCTCCAGCTGCCAGCCACCCTCCTACCACTCAGGCTGTACTCCTACCACTCCAGCCGCCATCTTACCACTCCAGCCGCCATCTTACTGCTCCGGCCGCCATCTTACTGCTCCAGCCCCACTCCTACCGCTCAGGCCGCCCTCCTAACACTCCAGCTGCGCTGCCATCTCTGTTGCCACCACCATCCAGAGCGAGACGAGCCACGGTGTTACAGGCTCCAGCCTCCAACTCCCCCTTCTCCTGGTCCTCTAAGCCGGGAACAGAGCAGCTCAGCGGGAGATACCAGAGACCCTAAACTGGCGTGAGGCCTGCTCGGCATGCACATGGGGTTACGCGCATGGTTTCTGGACTACATGTTCTGATTGGGTGAGAGAAAATCTCTAGGCCTTCTCTGATTGGACTTTATTTTCATACTCTAATTGGTTGTCCTAAGACTTTCATCCAATCAGAACATGATAACAAAGTCCAATCAGAGTAGGCCTCCGGGCTTTCTCTTATCCAATCCTGGAAAGTGTAGTCCACGAACCGCATATGCATAACTTCAGTACATAAATGGGGCTGAAGAAGAGTCAGGCTGTTCCAGGTTCTTCTGTGTCTGCTCACCGAGCTGCTCCGAGCCCGGCTTAGAGGACCAGGACAGACTGGAGGCTGTAGCCTGCTGCACCGTGGCTGGCCTCCCTGCAGTTGGTGGCGACAGACACTGTAGTGTGGCTGGAAAGGTAGGAAGGGGAAAATAGTTTTGGGATAGATGGAAGGGTAAAGAGGGTGGTTAGTGCCAAAAGGAAAAAAGGATGGCGAGCCGGAGAAGTCATTGCATAAAGACGGTGAGGAAAAGATGTTGGGAAAAAAAATTGGGGGGTAGATGGAGGGGGAAAAACAGGGTGGTAAACAGGAGGGAGAGAAGGTTTCACAGAAAGATGGTGGGGAAAAAGTTTTTGGGTAGATGGAAGGGGGTAAGAGAGGGTCGTGAGGGGGGAACGGGGATGAGCAGGAAGGAGAGAAGGTTTGCAAAAATATGGTGGGGAGAGAAGAAAGGGAAAGAAGACTGTGGGTAAAAAGATTTTGAGTGATGGAGGGGGGAAAAGGGTGACAAGTGGGAGGAGAAAAGAGGGTGCAGAGAGGGAGGGGGAAGAGAGAGTGGCGAGCAGGAGGGAGAGAAGGTTTTGTGAAAAGACAGTGAGGAGAGAAGCTTTTGGGTAGATGGAGGGGGGAAAGAGGGTGGCCAGTGGGAGAAGGGTAAAGAGAGTGGCGAGCCGGAAAGAGAAAAGGTTTTGCTAAAAGACGATAGGCAGAAAAGAAAGTGTAGAAAGAAAAGACAGTGGCTAAAAAGTGTTTGGGTAGACGGAGGGGGAAAAGAGGGTGGCAAGTGGGAGGAGAATAGAAAGTGTGGCCAGAGGAAGTGGGGAAAGAGGACTGGGAAAAAGGCGATGGGGAAAATAGTTTGGGGTAGATGGAGGGCAAAAAGAGGGTGGCAAGCAGGATAGAGGAAAGAAGAGGGCGAGCGGGAAGAGGGGAAGGCTTTGTGAAAAGATGGCAGGGAAAAATTGGGGAGGTAGATGGGTTAAAAGAGCGTGGTGAGCAGGAGTAGAGAAGAGGCTTTGCAAAAAGACGGCAGGAAAATGTTTTTGGGTAGATGGAGAAGGGAAAGGGTGGCAAGGAGGAAGGGAAAAAAGACGATAGGGAAACAGTTTTTGGGTAGACGGAAGGGGAAAGAGAGGGTGGCGAGCAGCAGGAGTGGGGAGAAGGCTTTGGGAAAAGATGAGGGAAATGTTTTTGGGGAGATGAAGGAGCAAAAGAGGATGATGAGAGCGGGAGGCGGAAAAAAGGGTGGCCAGAGAGAGGGAGAAAACACGGTGGGGACAAGTTTTGGGGTAGATGGGTGGGGAAAACGGAAGTGAGCGGTATAGTATAGAAGGCTTTGCAAAAAGACAATGGGGAAAAAATGGTGGGGAAAAAGTTTTGGGGTAGATGGAGGAAGAAAAAGGGTGGCGAGAGAGGGAGCCAAAGACGGTCGGGAAAAAAATTCCTCCTGTTACTGATTTTTTAATACTCTTCCATTCCGGTCAGAAAAAATAATTGATATGATTTCAGGGTTTTTTTTGTTTTGGTTTAGTTTGGTTTGGTTTTTTGAGATGGAGTCTCGCTCCGTTGCCCAGGCTGGAGTGCAGTGGTGTGATCTTGGCTCACTGCCACCTCCACCTCCCGGGTTCAAGCCATTCTTTTGCCTCAGCCTTCTGAGTAGTTGGGATTACAGGCATGCGCCACGACGCCCAGCTAATTTTGCATTTTTAGTTCTAAATGGGGTTTCTCCATGTTGGTCAGGCTGGTCCCGACCTCTGTTGATTGCCCCACCTCTGCCTTCCAAAGTGCTGGGATTACAGGTGTGAGCCACTGCACCTGGCAAGGATGATGAATTTTATTGAATGTTTTTATCTGCATCTATTGAGATAATCATATGATTTTTGTTTTAAATTTTGTTTATGTGGTAAATCACATTTATTGATTTGCATATGTTAAATAGTCCTTGCATCTCAGGAATAAAACCTATGTAATGATGATGAATTACATTTTTGATATGCTGATGGATTTGGTTTGCTAGCATTTTGTTGAGGATATTTGCATCTATGTTCATCAGATATTGGCCTGTAGTTTGTTGTTGTTGTTTCCTTGCTAGATTTTAGTGTCAGGATGATACTGGTTTTGTAGAATGAGTTAGAGAGGAATTCCTTGATTGATACCATCTATTTTTTTTATGTTTGGTAGAATTCAGCTGTGAATTCATCTAGTCCTGGGCTTCTCCTGCTTGATAAATATTTTTAATACAAATTCAGTTTCATAATTAACTACTGGTCTGTTCAGATTTTTTTAAATTTATAGAGAAAAAATATTTATTTGGTTTATAGTTGTGCAGGCAGTAGAAGCATGGGACCAGCACCTGCTCAGGTTTGGGTGAGACCTCAGAAAGCATCCAATCACAGAGGAAGGCAAAGGGAGGGCCAGGGTATCACGTGTCAAGAGAGAAATCAAGAGCAAGAAGGGGAACATGGCAGGGTGTTTTAAACAACCAGCTCTCGTGCGACACAACAGAGCAAGGACTCGCTGATCGCCAAGGGGATGGAGCTAAGCAATTTATGAAGGGTCCACTCCCATGATTCAACACCTTCCACTAGGCCCACCACCAACATTTAAGATCACATTCAACAGGAGATTTGGAGGGTAAACACATCCAAACAATGTCATTTCACCCCTATGGCCCCCAAATCTCATGTCCTTCTCATATTGCACAATACAATGTCATTTCATCCCTATGGCTCCCAAATCTCATGTCCTTCTCATATTGCACAATACAATTATCCTCTCCCAGTAGTCCCCAAAAATCTCAAGCTGTTTCAGCATCAACTCAAAAGTCCAAAATCTCATCTGAGCTTCAAGGTACATTCCTCCATCTATGAGCCTATGAGATCAAAACCAACTTATTTGCTTCCAATATTCAATGCAGTACAGGTGTTGGGTAAATATTCCCATTCCCAAATGGAGAAGTTGGGCAAAAGAAAGGGGCAACAGGCCTCAGGCAAATCTGAAACCCAGTAGGGCAGACATTAAACCTTCAAGCTCCAAAATAATTCTTGATTTCATGTCCCGCATCCAGGGCACACTTGTGCAAGGGGTGGGTTCCCAAGACCTTATGCAGCTCTGCCTCTGTGGCTTTGCAGTGTACAGTCACCATGGCTGCTGTCTTGGATCAGAGTTGCGTGCCTGTGGTATTTCTAGGCTCAGGATGAAAGCTTCCCATGGCTCTACCATTCAGGGATCTCGAGGTGGCAGCCCCATTCCCACAGCTCCAGTATGTAGTGCCCCAGTGGGGACTCTGGAGGCTTCAATCCCACATTTCCTGTTGGCACTGGCCCTAGTGGACTTTTGGTTTCTTTCTGATTCAGTCTTGGAAGGTGGTGTGTTTGCAGGAATGTATCCATTTTCTCTAGGTTTTCTAGTTTCTGCACACAAAGATATTCTGAGGATCTTTTTTTATGTCGGTGGTATCCTTTGCAATGTCTCATTTGTCATTTTTGATTGTGCTTATTTGAATCTTCTTTTTTCTTGCATAATCTAACTAGCAATCTATCATTTGTATGTGTCCTTGCAAAGAACCAACTTTTTAATTTTGCTGATTCCTTGTATGGCTTTTTTGGTCCTGATTTCATTACCTTATTCTCTAACCTTTGTTATTTCCTTCTACTAGCTTTGGGTTTGGTTTGTTCTTTTCTAGTGTGTTTGGCTATTTTAGCTTGTTAATTTGAGGTCTTTCTCTCTTTTTATGTAGGCATTTAGTGTTATAAACTCTCCTCTTAACATTGTTTTTTCTGTATCACAGACGTTTTGGTATGTTATGTTTCTATTTTCATTTGTTTCAGGAATTTCTTTAAATTTCTGCCTTAGTTCTGTTATTTACACAAAAGTCATTCACGAGCAGATTGTTTAGTTTCCATGTACCTCTGTGGTTCTGCGAGTTCTCGATATTGACTTCTAATTTTATTCCACAGTGGTCTGAGAAGATACTTAATATAGTTGTGATTTTTAAAAAATTATTGAGGCTTATTTTATGACTGAGCATGTGGTCAATTTTAGAGAATGTTCCATGTGCAAATGAGAAAAATGTACGTTCTATGGTTTCTGGGTGGAGTATTCTGTAGATATCTATTAGGTCTGTTTGGTCAAGAGCCCAATTTGAGTCCACAGTTTCATTGTTAGTTTTCTGCCTAATAATCTGCCTAACTAATCTCCTTACTGCTGTCGGTGGGGTGTTGAAGTCCTCCACGATTATTGTACAGCTGTGTATCTCTTTTCTTAGGTCTAGTAATATTTATTCTAAAAATCTGGGTGCTCCAATGTTGGCTGCATATATATTTAAGACAGTTAAGTCTTCTTGTTGAATTGAACACTTCATCATTATATAATGTCATTCTTTGTATTTTTTTTACTGTTGTTAGTTTAATGTCTGTTTTATCTGATACAAGAATAGCAATACCTCTCCTTTTTTGTTTTTCATTTATGTGATGAATCTTTTTCCATCCATTTACTTTGAGCCTGTTGGTATCATTACACATGAGATGGGTCTCTCAAAGGCAGCAGAAGTGTCTTGTTTTTTTATCCAGTTTGCCACTCTGTGTCTTTTAAGTGGAGCATTTCAGCCATTTACATTCAAGCTTAATATTGATGTGTTAGGTTTTCTTCCTTTTATAGCATTAGCTAGTTACCTTGTAGTCTCAATTGTTTAATTGCTTTATAGGTTCTGTACATTTTGTATTCATGGATGCTTTTATGGTAGCAAGTATCATTCTTTTATTTTCACGAGTCAAACTCCTTTAAACATTTCTTTTAGAGTCAGTCTGGAGGTAATGACTTCCCTTAGCATTTTCTTGTCTGGAAATATCTTATTTTCCTTTCTTTATGAAGCTCAATCTGGCAGGTTATGAACTTCTTGCATGACTGGGTGCAGTGGCTCATGCCTGTAATCCTAGCACTTTGGGAGGCTGAGGCAGGCAGATCACCTGAGGTCAGGGGTTCAAGACCAGCCTGGCCAACATGAAGAAACTCCATCTCTATTAAAAAATACCAAAATTTGCCAGGTGTGGTGGCGGGCACCTGTAATCCCAGCTACTGGGGAGGCTGAGGCAGGAGAATTGCTTGAACCCAGGAAGCAGAGGTTGCAGTGAGCTGAGATCACACCACTGCACTCCAGCCTGGGTGGCAAAGTGAGCCTCTGTCTCCAAAAAAAAGAAATTATTGGATGGCATTTTTTTTTCTTTATGAAGGCTAACGCTAGACCCCAATCTTTTCTAGGTTGCAGTGTTTCTGCTGATAAGTCTGTTGTTAATCTAATTTAATTTATAGGTAATTTGGCCCTTTGTTTGGGCTGCCTTTAATATATTTTCTTGTGCATTGACCACGGCTATTCTAATGACTGTGGATGCCTTAGGAATGGGCATCTTATTTACTATCCCACAGGTGTTCTCTGAATTTCTTATATCTGAATGTCAACCTTTCTAGCAAGACTAGAGAACTTTTCCTAAATTATTCCCCTAAATATACTTTCCTAGTTGGTTACTTTTTATTCTTCTGTTGTAGGAATGCCAATAAGTTATAAGTTTGGTCACTTTACATAATCCCACATTTCTTAAGGGCTTTGTTTTTCAGTTCTTTTTTCTTTTATTTTTGTCTGGGTTACTTTGCAAGACCAGTTTTCAAAGTCTAAAATTATTTCTTCTGCTTAGTCTAGTTTATTGTTAAAGATTCCAACTGTGTTTTGAAATTCCATTAGTGGATGTTTTAATTCCAGAAGCTCTATTTGTTTTTTTCTTAATCCAGCTATTTATTTTTCCATATTTCAAATTGTACTTAATGATTGTTTTGCACATAAAATTAATGTATACATGATTAATGCTTTAAAGGAACTAAGCACCCACCAGACTCAAGAAAAAATGATGCCCTATGATACATCTGAAAAAAATTTAATCTTTCTATTAAATACAGTTACACAAATTAAGATAATATGTATTTTTGTCTAGCAAAATAAAATATAGGTATCAGTTTTGGTGAAGCGAAAGCATAATGGACATTAATTTGCCGATTGGTGCTGAAAGTATAAATTGATTCAACATTTTGCAGGGATGTTAGTCAATATGTGTGAAAATTATACACTAATATCTCTTTACACAGTAATTAAAGTGCTAGGACTTTTTGAAAAGAAAACATGTCTCAATGTGCCCAAATTTGTTTCTGTGAAAATGTTTATAAAAAATGTTGTTCATTGAAAGCAATACAGTATTTAACCATAGAGAGAGTAGGCCTGTAAATCATGGAACTTATTCAATGGGGGATGTCTGAAGAGGGTCTAAAAATAATCTATATGTTTAAATAAATAAATTAAAAGAAATTTATTTTAAAATCCTACATTTAATTATATTAAAAATTATCAATTTAGGTGATAGGATTATTGGTAAATTTGAATTTTTTAGCATTTTTGTTTATGTGCCAATTTTTCTATTACTGTCTTTTACTCCTTTTGTAGATAAAATATACTGTTTTAACATAAAATAAATGTCATTCATAATTCTTATACAGTAAGAACATTTTTTTGAGACAGACTCTTGCTCTGTCACCCAGGCGGGAGTGCAATCATAGCTCACTGCAGCCTCAACCTCCCAGGATCAAGCTATACTCCCACTTCAACCTCCCAAGTGTCTGGGACCATGGCTGTGCACCACCATACCTGGCTAACTTTTAAAGAAAGATTATTGTAGAGCCAGTGTCTCACTGTGTTGCCCAGGCCAGTCTCAAACTCCTGGGTTCAAACAGTCCTCCTCCCTCAGCCTCCACAAAGTGTTGGGATTACAGGCGTAAGCCAATGCACACAGGCAGAGCTTTTTTAAAAAAAACTATGCAATATATTTGGTCTTCAAAAAATGTTTTTGTTTGAAGAGCAAGGTACTCATGCAGGAAAATAATCCAATTTATGGTGCAGTTTAATTTAAAATGAAATCACTTGGCATTATTAAAAAATAAAATTTTGCCCAGGCGCAGTGGCTTACTCCTGTAATCCCAGCCTTTTGGGAGGCCAAGGCAGGTGGATCACCTGAGGTCAGGAGTTTGCGACCAGCCTAACATGATGAAACCCTGTCTCTACTAAATATATATACACACACACACACACACACACACACACACACACACACAAAATAGCCGGGTGTGGTGGCGCATGCCTGTAATCCGAGCTACTTAGGAGGCTGAGACAGGAGAATCACTTGTACCCGGCAGACGGAGGTTGCAGTGAGCCGAGATCGCGCCATTGCACTCCAGCCTGGGCAACAAGAGTGAAACTCTGTTTAAAAAAAAAATAAAATTAAAATAAATAAAATTTTGAGTGTCCATTTGTTACCGAGAAAATAATTTTAAAAAACATTATCCTAATGCAATCTACAATTGTGTAGAATCATTGTAGAATATACCACAGCATACTGTTGAGTTTTATTTGCTATTAAGATTAAGTGGGGCTGCACGGCCAGACAGGCCCTGCTCCTGAGGCCGGGCAGGCTGCGCGCCTGCGATCCTGCGCCTGTGGTCCTGGGGCAGCCCGGACCAGCTCAGGAGAACCCGCGAGCCCAGCGGCGACTGCCCCGGGCTGGAGCCCCACCTGCCGGCGCGCCGCCTGGGAGCGGCTTCTGGGAGCCGGGCGGCCCCCGCCGTGCAAGGGCGCTGCTAATGCCCTTGCGAGGCTCAGTGGATCTAAGAGGTCGGAAGCTGGGAGTGTCGCTGCTGAAGGCTGTGGTGGACCCGGCTGGATCGCGGATTCTGGGCTAGATCGCAGATTTGGGATCGCGGATGGGGGATTGGATCGCGGATTGGGGGTTGGAGCGGGGATTTGGGCCTGGATTGGGGATTTGGGGCTAGGTGGGGGGCGGTGAAAAGGTGACACGGAGTTGCCGCGGCTCAGGAGCCGGTGGTTGGGAGTCTGAGAAGATTGCAGGCGCCCGCCACCACGCCCAGCTAATTTTTGTATTTTTAGTAGACACGGGGTTTCACTGTGTTGGCCAGGCTGGTCTCAAACTCCTGACCTCGTGATCTTCCCGCCTCAGCCTCCCAAAGTGCTGGGATTACAGGCATGAGCCACCGCACCCGGCCTTATCACTATTATTATGGTTTTTTTTGGGTTTTTTTGTTGTTGTTTGTTTTCTTTGTTTTTTGTTGTTGTTGTTGTTGTTGTTGTTGTTTTTTGAGACGGAGTCTCGCTCTGTCCCCAGGCTGGAGTACAGTGGCGTGATCTCGGCTCACTGCAAGCTCTGCCTCCCCGGTTCACGCCATTCTCCTGCCTCAGCCTCCTGAGTAGCTGGGACTACAGGCACCCACCACCACGCCCGGCTAATTTTTTGTATTTTTAGTAGAAACGGGGTTTCACCATGTTAACCAGGATGGTCTCGATCTTGTGATCCATCCGCCTCGGCCTCCCAAAGTGCTGGGATTACAGGCATGTGCCACCACACCCGGCCGAGCCCAGGAGTTTGAAACCATCCTGGGCAACATGGCAAAACCCCATCTCTACAAAAAATACAAAAAAATTAGCCGGGCATGGTGGCACATGCCTGTAGTTCTAGCTACTTGGGAGGCTGAAGTGGTTCTGCCTGGGAGGATCACCTGAGCCTGGGAGGTTGAGGCTGCACTGAGCTGTGATTGTGCCACCGTGCTCCAGCCTAGGTGATGGAGTAAGACCCTGTCTCAAGAAAAAAAAAAATCAGAACAGTTTCTCCCAGGAAGGTATACAAATGGCCAATTAGCACATGAAAAGATACTCAACCTCATTAGCCGTCAGAAAAAATGCAAATCAAAACCAAAATAAGATACCACTTCAGGGGAGCAGTGGTTCACACTTGTAATCCCAGCAGTTTGGGAGGCCAAGGCAGGCCAATTGCCTGAGGCCAGGAGTTCAAGACCAACCTGGGCAACATGGTGAGACTCTGTGGCTGCAAAAAAATAAAAAATTAGCAGCTGGGCAAGGTGGCTCATGCCTGTAATCCCAACACTTTGGGAGGCTGAGGCGGGTGGAGCACGAGGTCAGGAGTTCAAGACCAGCCTGGCCAACATAGTGAAACCCTGTCTCTACTAAAAATACAAAAGTTAGCCGCATGTGGTAGCACATGCCTATAATCCCAACTACTCAGGAGGCTGAGGCGGGAGAATCACTTGAACCCAGAAGGCAGAAGTTGCAGTGAGCTGAGACCACACCATTGCCCTCCAGCCTGGGTGACAGAGTGAGACTCTGTGTGAAAAAATAAAATAAAATAAAATAAAATAAAATAAAATAAAGTAAAACAAAATAAATAAAAATTAGTAGGGTGTGGTGGCATGCACCTGTAATCCCAGCTACTTGGGAGGCTGAGGTGTGAGGATCACCCCAGGAGGTCAAGGCTGCAGTGAGCTGTGATCATACCACTGCACTCCAGCCTGGACGAGAGAGCGATAACCTGTCTCAAAAAAAAAGAGCTATCAGGCTGGGCGTGGTGGCTGGCGCCTGTATTCCCAGCACTTTGGGAATACAGTGCTGGGAGGTGGGTGGATCACCAGGTCAGGAGTTCAAGACCAGCCTGGCCAAGATGGTGAAACCCCGTCTCTACTAAAAATACAAAAATTAGCCGGGCATGGTGGCAGGTGCCTGTAATCCCGGCTAAGCCAGGAGAATCACTGGAACCCAGGAGGTGGAGGTTGCAGTGAATCGAGATTAGGCCATTGCACTCCAGCCTGGGCAACAGAGCAAGATTCTGTCTCAAAAAAAACAAAAATTTCTGATTTCATTTTAACCAGTACAAGATGCAGGAAGGGAAGCTGCCCAGTGACGTTCTTGCTATTCAGTCATGGCCTCAAGGCAGCATTATTCATAACCATGAGTAGCGTGGCCTTTCTGAACAGCTTCTGAAAAGCACGTTTGTTACTGCAGCTTGGCAGTTTACCTCCTTCTACGTTCAGGGCTCAAACCCCGTTTAACACACGCCCCCTACTGGGCCATTGAGAACTGCTAGTCTCTTCAGGTCCCCTTCCACGCAGTGTGCAGGCTCCCTGTGCGCAACTCCCCTCCTCCTGTCCCTAGGGCTCCGCCTGAGTTCACATTCTGGCCTGCACTGCCAGATCTCCCTCCAGCCTCTCACCAGCTCCGTCATCCTCTGATCTGCCCCAGAGGCACATCTCTAAGAACACTAATGCCATCACTCAAAAACATTTGGCTGGAAGCCAGGCACGGTGTTTCGGGCATGGTGGCTCATGCCTGTAATCCCAGCACTTTGGGAGGTGGAGGCTGGTGGATCACTTGAGGTCTGGAGTTCAAGACCAGCCTGGCCAACATGGTGAAACCCCATCTCTACTAAAAATAAAAAACTAGGCCGGGCACCATGGCTCACGCCTGTAATCCCAGCACTTTGGGAGGCCGACATGGGTGGATCACGAGGTCAGGAGATGGAGACCATCCTGGCTAACACAGTGAAACCCTGTCTCTACTAAAAATACAAAAAATTAGCTGGGCATGGTGGCAGATGCCTGTAGTCCCACATACTCGGGAGGCTGAGGCATGAGAATGGCATGAACCTGGGGAGGGGAGGGGAGATCAGGTGAGTTAAACTGGATTTGGGGGGGAATGTTGGCCAAGTGGCAGGCAGGGTGGGCCTGGGCCTGAGGGAAGCCATGGACCCCTAGACTTGTTCCTGCTGACAGAGTGCCAGTGGCTGGGCAGGAGCATGAGCAAGGTGGGTTTGCATCTGTCACTGGAGGAGCGCTCCGAATGCTTCTCAGGACAAAAGCAGGAGGCTGCCATTGTTCACAGGATGTGAGATCTAATATGGTTCAGGCTGGGGCAAATCAGTGAAGATCAAAATCCCTCATCTTCCACAATGAGGGACTAGAATCAAAGGTGGATGTGCTCCCGCCTGCTCACAAAGGGTCCTCACATGCCCCAGGGCCCTCCGCTGGGGCACAGTCCACATTAGGCGACACACAAACAGCCTGAGGGTGCCCAGTCACTGAGCAGCCCCAGACGCTGTGCCGTTACCGGCAGGCAGGGCCCTGCAGGAGACCTTCGCCTGCCCGGACCAGAGAGGCTGCAGGGGTGCTGTGGGGAGAGGGCCAGATGGCCGCAACACAGCTGGGAATGGCTCCAGAGGGGAGGGTGGAGAGTGCGCTGGCCCCTGGGAGGACTCAGAGAGGAGTTGCGTGTGTTTGGCGCTTGTGGACATGGTGTGTGGCAGTGTGAGCCAACAGGCCAACGGGCGGCAAGCATAGGAGGCTTTATGGATCCCCCTGAAGAACCACTGTGTGGAGGGGAAATGGCCCCCTGCGAGGAAAGTCCTAGCAGCCGGTGGAGCGCAACCAGATGCGGGCCCAGACTGATGGGGTCTCCATGGGAGCCCAGGTGGGAGGTGGAGGAGAAGGGAGACAGTGAGAAGGTTGTCACCAGGCCCTCACTAATACCCAGGGAGAAGCCCGTGTGCAAAGGAGGTGAAGGATAGTGGTTTGGTTTGGTTTGGTTTGGTTTGGTTTGGTTTGGTTTGGTTTGGTTTGAGATGGAGTCTTGCTCCATTGTCCAGGCTGGAGTACAGTGGTGCGATCTCGGCTCACTGCAACCTCCACCTCCTGGGTTCAAGTGATTCTTCTGCCTCAGCCTCCCAAGTAGGTGGGATTACAGGCATGAACCATCACACCCAGCTAATTTTTGTATTTTTAGTAGAGATGGGGTTTCACCATGTTGACCACGCTGGTCTCAAACTCCTGACCTCAGGTGATCCACCCACCTCAGCTTCCCAATGTGCTGGGACTACAGACGTGAGCTACTGTGCCTAGTGGAGGATGGGTTTATATTGGGAAAAACCAATCTTATCAAATTTGGTGAAAACGACCACAGGATGCAACCCTCTGGCCTGGGACCCATCCCATCAAGTGGGTGGGGGCTGACAAGAAAACAACAGCGGCTCCTGGACAGCTCCCAGCAGGGCTCACTGCTCGGGCCCGGCCTAGCGCTGAGTGGGGCTGTTCCTGGCCCGACAGCCTCCCGAGGCTGGCTGCCAACACCGCACCCTTCCCACCTGTGTCCTGGAAGTGCTCAGAGGAAACATCTGCCCGGAACATGACATCAGTAAATCATTAATGAGACAGTCACTATATGACATAAATCCACTTAGCGGAGCCTCACCCTCACCTAGCAACTGGGTCACCAGCAAACTAACCACTTGGTGTGACTCTTCCATTAGGACTACATGGCCCCAGAGCCTGAGAGGCCAACGTTCCCAACCAGGGACTCCACCCTTCTCCCAGAGAGAGGCAAAAACAAAACAATGTAACTGAAAACCAGGTTGTAAAAACCGGTGGAAGAGCTGGGAACAGTTAACAGGGTGTCTTTCACCTCTGTGTGTAGGAGCCGAGGTGGAGCCGCCAGCTGTTCAAAGGATGCCCCCTCCTGGGGGGTAAGAGGGCTCGCCAGAGCCAGTGAGGTGGGTGGGCAGGGTCCCTGTGCAGTGACACTGGTTGTTCCTGAGGCAAGCAGAACTCCTCCCCACCCTTTTTTTTTGAGACGGAGTTTCGCTCTTATTGCCCAGGCTTTAGTGTAATGGTGCGATCTCGGCTCACCACAACCTCCTCCTCCTGGGTTCAAGTGATTCTCCTGCCTCAGCCTCCAGGCTAATTTTTGTATTTTTAGTAGAGATGAGGTTTCACCATGTTGGCCAGGCTGGTCTCGAACTCCTGACCTCAGGTGATCCAACCTCCTTGGCCTCCCAAAGTGCTGGGATTACAGGCATGAGCCACTGCGCCTGGCCACTGAACTCCCCATTTTATACAGTGGGAAACAAAGGTGCAACGACCCCAGGGACAGGCTTGGGAAACAGCTAATAAACAGCAGAGTCAGGCCACAAGGCCAAGTCTGACTCGGGGATCTCCATCCCACACCCGCCATCAACAGCAAACACATTAAAACTAAATGCCACGGCTGGGCGCAGTGGCTCACACCTGTATTCCCAGCACTCTGGGAGGCTGAGGCAGTCAGATCACCTAAGGTTGGGAGTTTGAGACCAGCCTGGCCAACATGGTGAAGCCCCATCTCTACTAAAAATACAAAAATTAGCCAGGCATGGTGGTGTACATCTGTAATCCCAGCTTCTTGGGAGGCTGAGGCATGAGAATCTCTTGAACCCAGGAGACAGAGGTTGCAGTGAGCTGAGGTCGCACCACTGCACTCCAGCCTGCTGGACGACAGAGCAAGACTCTGTCTCAAGAAACAAAACAAAACAAAAACAAAAACTTAAACACCAGGGAACACACACAACACACATACCAATAAGATCATGAAGAAGGAACGGCTGAAAAGTCCACCAATTGCAGTTTATTTGGAGTCTAGCCAAGTGCCATTTGTATGTATGTTTCTCTCACTTTCTATTCTACCATATGTGTTGAAAAGACCTATTTTTCCCTAACTGGCAGTGAAACATCATTAAATATATGTACACATATATACACACACACAATATAGCATGTACACTTAACACACGTCCATGCATGAGTACTGAGAGAGCTTGGGCAAGTCAGGGAAGACCCTTATCTGAAGGACATACCCTTGGTGCCATTTGGGAGAACAAACTCCTGTTACTAGCATCACAACAAAAACAGGTGGCAAGCTTTAAAGATAA
This sequence comes from Homo sapiens, assembly GCF_000001405.40. Lineage (NCBI taxonomy): Eukaryota > Metazoa > Chordata > Mammalia > Primates > Hominidae > Homo > Homo sapiens. Next base: position 10,399,608 of record NC_000021.9, on the reverse strand, counting down.
ACTCAAGACAGCGAGTGAAACTTCAGCAAATACGTGTTAATATGACCATGAGTAAAAGGCCCTTCCTGGCCAGGCGCGGTGGCTCACGCGTGTAATATCAGCACTTTCGGAGGTCGAGGCAGGAGGATCACCCGAGATCAGGAGTTCGAGACCAGCCTGGCCAATATGGTGAAACCCTGTCTCCACTAAAAATACAAAAATTAGTTGGGCGTGGTGGTGGGCGCCTGTAATCCCACCTACTTGGGAGGCTGAGGCAGGAGAATCACCTGAACCCAGGAGGTGGAGGTTGCAGTGAGCCTAGATTGTGCCTTTGCACTCCAGCCAGGGTGTTAAGAGTGAAACTCCACCTCAAAAAAAAAAAAAAAAAAAAAGACCCTTCCTAAGAACAGCACTGTAACTCATGAGTTATTACTCAGATGCATCTGTCCATCTACCCACCAACTCAGGTCCTCTCCATACACGCCTGTAAGTCACTGGGCTACTGGGAAACGGCATGGGAACACCATGTTCGTGCAGCCTGTCCCCACAGCCATCACTCCTCCCACAGCTCCTGGCTGCCCATGGCACTTCCCTGCAGCAAACTCAGCTGCTGACTTCATAAAAGGCACACAGCTGGACCTGTCTTCACTCATCTGCTTCAATTTACAACAGATTCATCCACAAAACTGAAGTGGTAGAAACAGGTCTTTTTGAATCCAGGCATGGTGGCTCATGCCTGTAATCCCAACACTTTGGAAGGCTTAGGCAGGTGGATTGCTTAAGCCCAGGAGTTTGAGACCAGCCTGGCTGACATGGTGAAACTCTGTCTCTACCAAAAGACTTTAAAAATCAGGTGGGGGTGGTGGTGTGTGCCTGTGTTGTCCCCGCTACTCCGGAGGCTGAGGCGGGTGGCTCACTTGAGCCCAGGAAGTTGAGGCTGCAGTGAGCCATGATCGCACCACGGCACTCCAGCCTGGGTGACAGGGAGAGATCCTATCTGAAAAGAAAAAAAAAAGAAAAGAAAAGAAGACAGGTCTTCCTGGGAGCACCTAGACAAAGGCCTTTGTAAAGATATATTACAAAGGAATATTTCTAGTCGCCTCTTTTCCTCAAAATCACAGTCAAGTAAGCTGGGCATGGTGGCTCACATCTGTAATCCCAGCAGTTTGGGAGGCCAAGGTGGGCAGATCACCTGAGGTTAGGAGTTTGAGACCAGCCTGCCCAACATGGTGAAACCCCATCTCTACTAAAAATACAAAAATTAGCCGGGTGTGGTGGCGCATGCCTGTAATCCCAGCTACTTGGGAGCCTACCCAGGAGGCAGAGGTTGCAGTGAGCCAAGATTGTGCCAGTGCACGCCAGCCTGGGTGACAGAGCAAAACTCTGTCTCAGGAAAAAAAAAAATATCACAGTCAAGTAAAAAGAAACGCAACTAAAAGAGCTGTCAGTTAAATACATTCCTCTCTAATGGCAGGACTAGTCTATAAGATTTGTTTTGTTTTTAATTTAGAGTTTTTTTAATGTTTAAACCTTGTGAAACATCAAATTATATGCTGAAGCTGTTACTTTCTGTCAAAAAAAGTGAGTTTTTAATATGAAAATTCTGCTTAGGTTAAATTTTTTTTTAAAAAGCAAGTTTTATACATCTGCGTGAATTGTTTCCTTTAGCACTAGTCAAACAGACTCCATAACCTTCCAAAGAAGTGCCTTCATTTATTTATGGGGCTTAGGACAGGAAAAAAGCTCTGGAAAAGGGAAATTTCAAAATAGGGCTTCAGCAGCGGCCCAGGTGGAGTGAGTAGTTTTGATAAGGTCTGGGTGGGACTCACTTCCAGGTGGTGAGGACAGCTCTCCCCGATCTCTCTATCGGCCTGCTCTGGGCCACAGAGACTGGCCCTGACGACTTCTCAGCTCCCGGTCAGCCCTGTCACCCCGGGCCAGTTCTTCATCGTACCTGGAGACAGAAACAGCCAGGATCATGGCAGGCTCTCTTTCGAAGGCAACAGGCAGGGCCACCAGGCTGCTGTGTGGCGAATACGACATTACCCAGAGAAGCGGCCTGAGAGGGCCCCCCGGCTCCTGCTGGCTCCCACCCACCTCCCACCTGGCTCCAGCCTACCTACCTGCGAGGTGGCTTTTGCAGCCTGGCAAACGCTCCCCAAGGCCACCATGCCTATGTGTACAGCCTTGTTGTTATTGTGGACAGTGTTCTCCCCTCAGAAGCTGACATTTTATACAGGTCACCAGATCAAATTTGGCAATGACTCGTTTTATAAGGTCAATATGTATTTACAATTACTCACATTATCTTGAGTTCTCACCGCTGTTGTGTCCTTCCTGAATTTTCATGTCGCATTGGGTCAGCTTCTCTTCTGCCTTTGGAGTCCCTGTTTAATATTACCTTTAGGGGCAGTCTGTCGGTAGCATATTTTTCCAATTTTTGCTTTTGGAAGAAGGCTTTGCTTCAACCCAGTGGTGAGCACATGTGAGGCTGTTGTTTATTAATCGAATATTTCCCCCTTTTATTTTTGAGACAGAGTTTTGCTCTGTCACCCAGGCTGAATTGCAGTGGCGTGATCTTGACTCACTGCAACCTCTGCCGCCTGGTTTCAAGCGATTCTCCTGCCTCAGCCTCCCAAGTAGCTGGGATCATAGGCGTCTGCCACCATGGCCGGCTAATTTTTTGGGTTTTTTAGTAGAGACGGAATTTCACCCTGCTGGCCAGGCTGGTCTCGATCTCCTGACCTTGTGATCCACCCGCCTCGGCCTCCCAAAGTTCTGCGATGACAGGTGTGAGCAACTGTGCCCAGCCTTCTTCTCCTTTTTTTTTCCCCAAAAGAAACGCGGAGTTGGAGACAGACTTATTAGCATTGAAGGGAGAGATCTGATGAAGAGAAATGGGGCCACATTGAGGCAGTGTCCTGGGAGGAGCTGTGGTTTTTACGTCTGTCGCTGTTAGGGGGAAAGATGTGGACCAGGGTGGTAGCCAGTGGGCTAAGGGTGAGGCTCCCACCTCACAGGGAGGTGGAGAGAAAGACATGGAGACAGAGAGACAGAGACAGAGAGGCAGAAACAGACAGACCCACAGAGAGAGAGGGAAACAGAGATGAAGAGACAGAAACACACAGACAGACAGTGATAGAAAAAGGGAGACACAGAAATAGAGGGACAGATACAGAGATGGAGAGAAAGACAGAGACAGATAGACACTAAGAGAGACACAGAGAGAGAAAGAGATGGAGACAGAGAGACAGAGACAGAGAAGCAGAAACAGAGACAGATACATAGAGAGAGCGAGACAGAGATGAAGAGACAGAAACACAGAGAGACAGTGATAGAAAGGGAGACACAGAAACAGAGGGACAGATACAGAGATGGAGAGAAAGACAGAGACAGACAGAGAGACACTAAGAGAGACACAGAAAGAGATGGAGACAGAGAGACAGAGACAGGCAGAAACAGAGACAGACACACAGAGAGAGGGAGACAGAGATGAAGAGACAGAAACACACAGAGAGACAGTGATAGAAAGAGGGAGACACAGAAACAGAGGGACAGATACAGAGATGGAGAGAAAGACAGAGACAGAGAGACACTAAGAGAGACACAGAGAGAGAAAGAGATGGAGACAGAGAAGCAGAAACAGAGACAGACAGAGAGAGAGAGGGAGACAGAGATGAAGAGACAGCAACACACAGAGAGATAGTGATAGAAAGAGGGAGACACAGAAACAGAGGGACAGATACAAAGAAAGAGAGACACTAAGAGAGACACAGAGAGAGAAAGACTGACATATACATAGAAAGAGGGAGAGAGGCCGGGCACGGTGGCTCACACCTGTAATCCCAGCACTTTGGGAGGCCGAGGCAGGCGGATCACGAGGTCAGGAGATCGAGGCCATCCTGGCTAACACGGTGAAACCCCGTCTCTACTAAAAATACAAAAAAATTAGCCAGGCGTGGTGGCGGGCACCTGTAGTCCCAGCTACTCGGGAGGCTGAGGCAGGAGAATGGCGTGAACCCGGGAGGCGGAGCTTGCAGTGAGTGGAGATCGAGCCACTGCACTCCAGCCTGGGTGACAGAGCGAGACTGTCTTTCAAAAAAGTAAGTAAATAAATAAATAATGGGGGGGAGCTTCCTCCATCTTTATTTTAGAGACATGGGGGATTTTCAGGTAAGGTGTTAGGATATGAAAGCAATGTCCTCTTCCCCTGGGGAGAGGCTAAAATAGGGAGAGATGGGGAAGGAAATCCTTGAGGGAGCCCCAGGCATTAGTCCAACCAGGAGCACTAAGGGCCAGAACCAGAACATGTTACTTGGCCTGAGTGTGACTTCTGGTGTAAGAAAAACAGACCCTGAAGGTCTTTGTGAAACCTTAGTTTCTCCTTCTAAAGAAATGCCTGTTTATTTTACAGATGCAAAGGGTAACCACATTAATTCCAAGGCAGTTTTCCAAAGTATTATAATGATCCCAACAAGAAAATGGCATTTCAGTTCAAATGTTACTGAGTTCCAGGGAAACGGTTAGATACCCAGGCTGTGGAACTGGGTTGGATGCAGGACTCAGGATCCAGAGACAAGGAAGGCAGCATCATAAGTCAGCCACCCATAAATGCAATATTATAATAGTCCCAATTTCTTTTTGAGGTTTGTTCCAATCAACAGCAACTGAAACACAACTCAGAGTAAGTTAGGCAGAGAAAGAAAATTGTTGAACTAATATAACTGTGAGATCCTATGATGGAGCTGACCTCAGGATTCCCAAGGACTTAAGAAATCTCTAGATAGATAGATAGATAGATAGATAGATAGATAGATAGATAGAGACATAGATAGAGAAAAAAATAGATATAGATAGAATAAATAGATGATAAATACATAGGATAGATAGATAAATAGCTAGATGATAGGTAATATATATAGATATGTAGATGTTTAATAGATACATAAAATAGGTAGATAAATAGGATGGATAGATACATAATTGATAGATAACTAGGACAGATAGATACATGATAGATACATTGATACACAGGATAGATAAATGATAGGTAGATAGATAAGATGGATAGATACATAGATAAATAGATTAGATAGGAGAGATGATAGATAGATAGGTAGATAGATAGATAGATAGTTAGAATAAGATGGTTGATAGTCACATAGAATAAGATGGATGATAGATAGATGATAGAGGGATAGAAAGATAGGATAGATGATGGGTAGATGGTTAGATAGATAGGATAGATGATAGATAGATAATAGATAGATGGAATAAATATCGTATAACTGCATAAACAAATGTATGGAAATAAGCAAATAATCATGACTTAAATAAGATGGAAGTTTGTTTCTCTCTGATATGATAGGAGGCCAGAACAAGGGGTCCAGGTTATTGTACAGATTCAAGATGTCAGGCATTTTGAATGTTGTTGCTCCACTATTTTAGTATGTGACTTTCTACTCATGGTTCAATATGGTGGCATGGTCTCCAGCCCTCACATCTCCATTGCAGCTAGCAGCAAAAGGAGAGGGAAGAGTTCACATTCACTTTTTTACAAAATTAAAGAGATTTTTATGGTCTTAATACATTCCTACTTACTTCTCATGAGCTCAAAGTTCATCATACAGTCACACAGAGCTGCAAGGGAGTCTAGGAAAAACAGTCTCAAAAAGTAGAGGTGGACAGCTTCTCAGGGATCTCCCAAGTTCTGATGACTCTCTCAACTCTCTGCTTCTCTCTGGGTTCCAGACTAGATTCTCTCAGAAAAAGTCTTGGAATATAGGATGGAAAAAAAAAATCCAGCTGCTGTAGCTATAGATTCACAGTCTGAGCTTCTCCCACCACCCTCTCAGTCTTTGCTGATCAAATTCAGGGGAAGGTTAACTAGCCTGTCTTGAACCATATGTCTATCTCTGGGATAATCTCTGCACCTGAGAAAGGCTGGCTTCTCAGAGCAGATGATTTTGTTGTTGTTGTTGTTAAACTTTAAAAGATGAATCAGATGTTACAATGACTCAGGGCTGGGCAGGCAAACTCAGGGAACTAGGAAATTGATGATGGAGTCAGAGATTGAGGTGCTGGGTGTGATGTGATGAAGTACAGACAGAGAGGCCACATCTTTCCATGTGTGAATTTATGAAAGATCTCAGACACTTAGGTAAGGATCCTGAACTATTCTCTGCAGTTGATGAGAAACCACCAACATTTTGTGACCAGTCATGTCAACATTTATGCTTATACATATTAAATAGGTCTAAATGTGTTTAGACCTATTACCTTGGAACCCATGCATAGGATGGATGAGAAGGGATGGCACTGAAGATGGAAGCCTGGAGACTCTGGCATGGGATGGATGGTGGTAATGGAGTCTTTGAACCTGGAGCATGGAGTGGGAAGGAAGAAGTGAGAAGGCATTCAAAGTCACCAGTGAGGCTGGGCACCATGGCTCACACCTGTAATCCCAGCACTTTGAGAGGTCAAGACAGGCAGATCACTTGAGCTCTGGAGTTCAAGACCAGCCTGGGCAACATGATGAGACCCCCATCTCTATTAAAAATAGAAAAAATAGCCAGGAGTGGTGGTGTGTGCCTGTAGTCCTAGCTACTAGGGGAGCTGAGGTGGGAGGATCACTTAAGCCCAGGAGGTGGAGGTTGCAGTGAGCTGAGATTGTGCCACTGCACTCCAGCCCAGGTGACAGAGTGAGACATTGTCTCAAACAAACAAACAAATTAAAATAACACAAACACACACACAAAAACAAAAAAACAAAAATACAAAAACAAACAAAAAACAGTCACCACAGAAGCAAACTGTTGTGTCTCTTTGATGTTGAGGGAAAAATCAAACGTGACTTCAGAGCTCTAACCTGAAAGGTTGAGTGGGAAACAAACTCCCAATAAAAGAACATAAATTATGTCTGGGGGAGAAAAGAAGACAAAGTTGAGTTCAGCCTTTGCTTTATTGATTCTTCTTCTGAAGGAGGTTCTTCTAAAACAGGGAGTCACATTTAGCCTTTGCTCGTTCTTCTCCTCTTCCCAAAGGGGTTCTTCTAAATGTTGGGCTGAACTAGGGCTCAAACATAAGCTTCCTTCTCTCTCCAGGGGATCTCACTCAGCCCCAGGACTTGACACATCCACTCAAAATCCTAAATTCCCATCTCTGGCTTTGACATCTTTTCTCTACTTCAGATTCATGCATGTAACTGTATGCTCAACTTCTCAGCTCAGATAAATGATTAGGGCTTCCAAGTTAACCCATCCCAAACCATCTGGAAAGCCTTCACTGGATTCACCACCACCCCTGAGAAGTGTTTTGGCAGAAGACTTTGGAAACTTTGAACTCTTCTTTCTCTCATCTCCCCCTTATACAATTCATTGGCAAGTCTCTTGAATGACCTCAAACATTTGTCAAATTGGATCAGATTTTCCTGCCTTTGCTTTCTTCACCCTCATGCATGACATATGTCATCTGGATCATAGCCACATCCTCTTGATTGATCTCTTGGCTTCTGTCCTGGTTTCTGCTTTGATCCTGGAATTATTCTTAAGCAGAGAAATCTTTCAAAAATAGAGATGATTTTTAGCTTGTGGTCCTCATCCCTTGCTAATGACTAAATAGCAAAGTTTCCCAAAATTTGTATGTTGAAGGCCTAACCCCTACTAGTCATGTCCCTCCAAAATGCACCATATGGAAACCCTAATCCCCAATGGGATGATATTAGGAGGTGAAGTCTCTGGAGGTGATGAGGTTTAGATGAGGTCATGAGGATGGGTCCTTCATGACGGGATTAGTATCCTTATAAGAAGAGCGAGAGACACAAAAGTGCTCTCTCTCTCTCTCTCTTTCTCTCTCTGAATGCACCATCTGTGAACCAGCAAGAGGACCCACTCCAGACAATAAATCTGCCATACCTTGATCTCGGACTTCCCCATCTCCAGAACTGTGAGAAATCAATGGCTGTTACTTAAGCCACCCAGTCTATAATTTTTGTTATGGCAACCCGAGCTGAATAAGACATCCCTCATTGCCACTCAAAACCCGCCAATAATTTCACATCGAAGTCAGAATACAATCTAACTACTTCCCTATGGCTTCTTTGTAACTCTGCCCCTGGTCACTTGCTCCAACTGGGACTCTGTGGTCCCAATAAAATAACGTAAATTATGTCTGGGGAAGAAAAGAAGACAAAGTTGAGTTCAGCCTTTGCTTTACTGATTCTTCTTCTGAAGGGGGTTCTTCTAAAACAAGGAGTCATCACGTTTAGCCTTTGCTTGTTCTTCTTTGCTGCCCCCTTGGGCATCCCCCCAGTCATGCCAAATTCATTCCTGCTGCAGACCTCCAGTACATTACTCCTTCTGTGAGTGTCCTCTGGCCGCCATCACCAATGATCACATTCGTATTGGCTTAAAGCAACACAAATGTATTGTCTTACAGTGTTGTAGTTTTGAAGCCCACCCTGGGTCTCACTGGCCTAAAACCAAGGTGTCAGCAAAACTTCCCTCTTGATGCAAGTTCTGGGGGAGAATCAGTTTCCTTGCCATTTCCTGCTTCTAGGGGAATGTTTCTAGAGTATTCCTTGGCTCCTGGACCCTTCCTTGAACTTCAGAGCCAGTAGTGCAGCATCTTCTAATTTCTCTGTGACTCTGACCTTTGCTTTTGTCCTAACATCACCTCCTCTGGCTCTGGCACTCCTGCCTCCCTCTTACAAAGATCCTGTGATGATCTTAGACCCAGCTGGATAATCCAGGGTCATTTCATCTCATGATTCTTAAACTAATCACATCTGCAAAATCTTTTTAGCCATGACAGGTTTTTACAGATTTCTAGAATTAGGATGTGGATATTTTTTTGAGGGGGGGAAGGGGGTGCTTACTCTGTCAACCCACATGGGGATTAGGATGTAGACATCCTTGGGGCCATTATTCTGTCTGCTACCTAGTATTAGGCCATGGACATCTTTGGGACCATTATTCTCTGTATCACATGAGGAGTAGGACATGGGTATCTTTGGGACCATTATTCTGTCTCCCACATGGGGATTAGGATGTGGACATCTTTGGGGCCATTATTCTGTCTGCCACGTGGGGATAAGGATGTGTACATCTTTGAGGCCATTATTCTGTCTACCACATGGGGATTAGTATGTGGACATCTTTGGGGTCATTATTCTGTCTACCACATGGGGATTAGGACGTGGACATCTTTGGGGCCATTATTCTGTCTGCCACGTGGGGATTAGGATGTGTACATCTTTGGGGCCATTATTCTGTCTATCACATGGGGATTAGGATGTGGACATCTTTGGGGCCATTATTCTGTCTGCCACATGGGGATTAGGATGTGTACATCTTTGGGGCCATTATTCTGTCTATCACATGAGGATTAGGACGTGGACATCTTTGGGGCCATTATTCTGTCTGCCACATGGGATTAGGACATGGACATATTTGAGGCCATTATTCTGTCTACCAAATGGAGATTAGGATGTGGACATCTTTGGGGCCATTATTCTGTCTCCCACATGAGGATTAGGATGTGGACATCTTTGAGGCCATTATTCTGTCTCCCACATGGGATTAGGATGTGAAGATCTTTGGGAACATTATTGTTTTCACCACATGGGATTAGGACATGGACATCTTTGGGGCCATTATTCTGTCTACCACACGGGATTAGGATGTGGACATCTTTGGGACCACTATTCTGTCTACCTCATGGGGATTAGGATATGGACATCTCTGGGACCATTATTCTGTCTACCACATGGGAAATAGGATGTTGGTCACATCTTTAGGATCATTATTCTGTCTCCCACATGGGGATTAGGATGTGGACATTTTTGGGGCCATTATTCTGTCTACCACATGGGGATTAGGACATGGACATCTCTGGGGACATTATTCTGTCTACCACATGGGGAATAGGATATTGGTAACATCTTTAGGGCCATTATTCTGTCTACCACATGGGGATTAGGACATGGATATCTTTGGGGCCATTATTCCGTCTACCACGAGATAATTACAACTTGGACATCTTTGGTGAAATCACGTTGTCTTCGTCCTTTCTTATTCTTAGAATTCTCCTAGTGACAAGCGTCTTCTTCTTCCTCAACTTCTTCTTCCTCAGCATTCCTATGGGGCCTCCAACACTCACCAGACAGCTCCCTGACTGCATTACCCTAGATTGTATTTGACCAAGATTCTCGGGTTTTTCTTGGTTTCTCCAAGCAGAATGGAAGCTTTAGAGGGCAGAGTGTTTGTTACTCTTTCTTATTCTAATTGTGTATTCTTATTTACTGACGTGTCTCCAGCTTTCAAGGCAGAGTCTCACCCATTAGGTCTTCTATATACAATTAAATTTACCTAGAAAGTATTTCCTTCTTATTTAAAACTTTTTAAAAGTAAATTCATGTATACATATGTAACCAACCTGCATGTCGTGCACATGTACCCTAAAACTTAAAGTATAATAATAATAAAATTTTTAAAAAAGAAAGATAACAACCAAAAAACAACAAAAAAGTAAATTCCAAAATTTCTATATCACATTACAAATTCACATGCCACCCACGAAGAATACATTTGCAAAATAAATGATGTCTTGAGACGAAATGAGTTTTCAATGAAGATTTTAGAGACTCTTTATTTTTATTTTTATTTTTTAGACAGAGTCTCACTCTGTCACCCTGGCTGTAGTGCAGTGGCGTGATCTCGGCTCACCACAACCTCTGCCTCCCGGGTTCAAGCAATTCTCTGCCTCAGCCTCCCGAGCAGATGAGATTACAGGAACCCTCCACCTTGTCCGGCTAATTTTTGTATTTTTAGTAGACACAGGTTTCACCTTCTTGGCCAGGCTGGTCTTGACCTCCTGACCTCAGGTAATCCACCCACCTCGGCCTCCCAGAGTGCTAGGATTACAGATGTGAGCCACCGTGCCTGGCCGAGACTTTTTAATACATGCTTTGGTTCTAATAAAGTTCCCCATTGAGCTGTTTGGACAGATGACAGGGAAGAAATCATTTACAATTCTCTTAACAAAACCCCCGTAAAGAATAACCCATTTCCCCCCAAATAGGAAAGGGAACTATTTCACCCTGCTCTTTGAGGAAATTGAATAAATAGTAAATGAAGTTCTGTCTGTACAGGAAGTGTGGGTACTTGGCATTACATCTAGACAAGTAAAGACACAAGTGTTTTCTTCCAAATGAATGACATGTTTAAAAACCTTCATCACCACCCTCTCTGTGATTACAAGTTTTGAGTGCCTTTTAACCACTGGGTGCTAGAAGCAAATTTCCATGTGAACACACCCTCCTTCTTCTTCTCCTCCTGCTCCTCCCGCTCCTCCTCCTCCTCCTTTTCTCCTTGTCCTTCTTCTTCTTCTTCTTCTTCCTCTTCCTCCTCTCCTTCTCCTTCTTCTCCCTCTTCTCCCTCTTCCTCTTCTTCCTCCTCTCCTTCTCCTTCTTTTTCCCCTTCCCCTTCCCCTTCTTCCTCCTCCTCCTCCTTCTCCTCCTCCTCCTCCTCCTCTTCTTCTTCTTCTTCTTCTTCTTCTTCTTCTTCTTCTCCTTCTCCTTCTCCTTCTCCTCCTTCTCCTTCTTCACTTCAAGTTATGGTATACATTTGCAGAACGTGCAGGTTTGTTACATAGGTATACATGTGCCATGGTGGTTTGCTGCACCTATCAACCCATCATCTAGGTTTTAAGCCCTGCCTGCATTATGTATTTGTCCTAATGCTGCCCCTCCCCTTTCCCCCAACCCCCAGACAAGCCCCAGTGTGTTATGTTCCCCTCTCTGTGTCCACGTGTTCTCATTGTTCAACTCCCTCTTATGAGTGAGAACATGGGGTGTTTGGTTTTCTGTTCCTGTGTTAGTTTGCTGAGAATGATGGCTTCCAGCTTCATCCATGTCCCTGCAAAGGACATGAATGCATCCCTTTTTATGGCTGCATAGTATTCCATGGTGTCTATGTGCCACATTTTCTTTATCCAGTTTATCACTGATGGGCATTTGGGTTGGTTCCAAGTCTTTGCTGTTGTGAATAGGAGCACATCCTCCTGATTCAACAATGAGATCATCGTCCACTGTTCTGTTCAGGAGTACAGAAAGGTCCCAGGCTGCTAAGACAATCTCGAATTCTCTCAACACCCCACAGCTTGTCAATACTGGAGGTATTCTGGTGATTTTTTTTTTTTGGAAAGTGGCTATTTATATATCACAAGGTTTCTTGATTACAAAAGCAGTCAACTGGCCAGGCGCAGTGGCTCATGCCTGTAATCCCAGCACTTTGGGAGGCCAAGGCTGGTGGATCATGAGGTCAGGAGATCGAGACCAGCCTGGCCAACATGGTGAAACCCTGTCTCTACTAAAAATACAAAAATTAGCCAGGCATGGTGGTCATCCTTTTTTATGGCTGCATAGTATTCCATGCATACATGGCACATTTTCTTTAAGGGTGCATGTTGGGAGGAGGGAAAGGATCAGAAAAAAATAACTTATTGTGTACAAAGCTTTGTACCTGGGTGACAAAATAATCTGTACAACAAACCCCTATGACATGAGTTTACCTATATAACAAACCCACACATGTACCCCTAGACCTAAATAAAAGTGTTTTTGTTTGTTTGTGTTTTTGTTTTTGTTGTGTTTGTATGTTTGTAATCCCAACTACTTGGGAGGCTGAGGCAGGAGAATTGCTTGAACCCGGGAGGTGTAGGTTGCAGTGATCAGAGATCGCTCCAGCCTTGGTGACAGAGTGAGACTCCATCTCCAAAAAAAAAACCAAAAAACAAAAAACTCGTCTCTCTACCTACCTGCTCTCTTTCCCCATTCCTGTTACATAGATTACTTCTTACCTCCCCAGGTACCCTGGAAGGTCAGAGTCTTCCCTTCTTCCTTCTATTTAAATAAAACAATATGAGAAAACTGCTTGACAGGTGGTTCCAAGCATCAGTGGGGTGAAAAAACAATATTCTTCGTGATGTGGGTAACACCAGGAAAAAAAAAAATCAGTGTCTCTTGTCCATAGGTTCTCATCATTTAGCTCTCACTTTTATTTTTAATTAATTAATTTTTTTTTGAGACAGAGTCTCACTCTGTCACCCAGGCTGGACTGCAGTGGCAAGATCTCGGCTCACTGTACACTCCACCTCCCGAGTTCAAGTGATTCTCCTGCCTCAACCTCCTGGGTCACTGGGATTACAGGTGTCTGCCAGCACTCCTGGCTAACTTTTGTATTTTCAGTAGAGACGGGACTTCACCATATTGGTCAGGCTGGTCTAGAACTCCTGTCCTCAAATGATCTGCCCTCCTCGGCCTCCCAGAGTGCTGGGATTACAGGCATGAGCCACTGTGCCTGGCTGGTAACGCTCTTTCATGATAGAATCTTTATTTTTAAATTTATTTATTTATTTTGAGACTGAGTCCCACTCTGCCACTCAGGCTGGAGTACAGTGGCACGATCTCGGCTCACTGCAACCTTCACCACCCGGGTTCAAGTGAGTCTTCTGCCTCAGTGCCCCCCGAGTGTCTAGGATTACAGGCATGCGCCACCATGCCGAGCTAATTTTTGTATTTTTAGGAGAAATGAGGTTTCATCATGTTGGCCAGGCTGGTCTCTAACTCCTGACCTTAAGTGATCCACCCACCTTGGCCTCCCAATGTGATGGAATTACAAGTGTGAGCCACCACACCCGGCTGGCTCCCACTTTTAAATGAAAACGTGTGGTATTTAGTTTTCTGTTCCTGCATTGGTTTGCTAAGCATACCATAGCTCCAGCTGTGTTCCTGCAAAAGATATGAGCTCATCCTTTTTTATGGCTGCATAGTATCCCATGCATATGTGGCACATTTTCTTTAAGGGTGCAGGTTGGGAGGAGGGACTGGATCAGAAAAAAATAACTTATTGTGTACAAAGTTTGTACCTGGGTGACAAAATAATCTGTACAACAAAACCCTATGACATGAGTTTACCTATATAACAAACCCACACATGTACCCCTGGACCTAAAATAAAAGTGTTTTTGTTTGTTTGTTTTTTTGTTTTTGTTGTGTTTGTATGTTTGTTTGAGATGGAGTCTCTGCCTTTGTTGCTCAGGCCAGAGTACAGTGGTGCAATCTTGGCTCACTGCAACCTCCACCTCCCAGAAAAAGAAAGCAAATACGGCAAACAGCATCAGCTTTTTAGAAGAAGCTGGAGCTTCTGGTGGGTGGACCATGCTGGAGCTTCTGGTGGGTGGGCGATGCTGGAGCTTCTAGTGGGTGGACGATGCTGAATCTTCTGGTGGGTGGACTATGGTGGAGCTTCTGGTGGGTAAATAATGTTGGAGCTTCTGGTGAGTAGACCATGGTGGAGCTTCTGGTGGATAAATTATGCTGGAGCTACTCATGGGTAAATCATGCTGGAGCTTCTGGTAGGTGGACCATGCTGGGGCTTCTGGTGGGTGAACCATACTGGAGCTTCTGGTAGGTGGACCATGGTGGAGCTTCTGGTGGGTGGACCATGCTGGGGCTTCTGGTGGGTGAACCATACTGGAGCTTCTGGTAGGTGGACCATGGTGGAGCTTCTGGTGGGTAGACCATGGTGGAGCTTCTGGTGGGTGGAGCATGCTGGAGCTTCTGGTGGGGTAAATCATGCTGGAGCTTCTGGTGGGTAAATCATGCTGGAGCTTCTGGTGAGTAGACCACGGTGGAGCTTCTGGTGGATAAATTATGCTGGCGCTTCTCGTGGGTAAATCATGCTGCAACTTCTGGTGGGTAAATCATGCTGGAGCTTCTGGTGAGTAGACCACGGTGGAGCTTCTGGTGGATAAATTATGCTGGAGCTTCTCGTGGGTAAATCATGCTGGAGCTTCTGGTGGGTGGACCATGCTGGAGCTTCTCATGGGTAAATCATGCTGGAGCTTCTGGTGGGTGGATCATGCTGGAGCTTCTGGTGGGTGGATCATGCTCGAGCTTCTGGTGGATGGACCATGCTGGAGCTTCTGGTGGGTGGACCATGGTGGAGCTTCTGGTGAGTAGACCATGGTGGGAGCTTCTTGGAGGTAAATTATGCTGGAGCTTCTGATGGGTGGACCATGCTGGAGCTTCTGGTGGGTGGACCATGGTGGAGCTTCTGGTGGGTGGACCATGGTGGAGCTTCTGGTGGGTAAATTATGCTGGAGCTTCTGGTGGGTGGACCATGTTGGAACCTCTGGTGGGTGGATCATGCTGAAGCTTCTGGTGGGTAAATCATGCTGAAGCTTCTGGTGGGTAAATCATGCTGGAACCTCTGGTGGGTAAATCATGCTGGAGCTTCTGGTGGGTAAATTATGTTGGAGCCTCTGGTGGGTAAATCATGCTGAAGCTTCTGGTGGGTAAATCATGCTAGAGCCTCTGGTGGGTAAATCATGCTGGAGCCTCTGGTGGGTAAATCATGCTGGAGCCTCTGGTGGGTAAATCATGCTGGAGCCTCTGGTGGGTGGGGTATCCACACACCTGTGGGTGCCAATTGATAGTGGGGACTTCACCCCATGTCCCAGAATCCTGCAAGGAGGCCACATGCCCCATAAATTCTTTCCAGTAAGTTAATACGTCCACAGCACGCTGTGCGTTCCCCCAAAAATGACATCGGCCAATTACACTTTCAAATCACATGCCTTCCTGATGGGCAAAACTGGAAATGTGAACACACTTTAATCCTCAGATAATGTAATGGTTTACATCTGGGGCTCTTCAGGCAGCCCATGGCTGGTTCACGTTGCTCCCTTCCAATAAATGTTTTGCAGTATGTGTCTTGTTTAATAACGATTTAAACATGGAAAATAAATGCTTTCCTCTTAGGCGTCCACCTGTCTATCACCCGGAGTCTGGGAGGACGGCCCTTCTTTTCAACGGCATTCGCCAAGCCAGTCTCCATGAATCACTGACAGAGTCCTCTAATGGTTTCCTTTTTTGTTGTTGTTGTTTAACACTTAAGCATTGTTGTTGATTAACACTTAAGCCTTTTTTTTTTTCCCCCGAGACGGAGTCTTGCTCTATCACCCAGGCTGGAGTACAGTAGTGCGATCTCAGCTCACTGCAACATCCGCCCCCCGGGTTCACACCATTCTCCTGCCTCAGCCTCCCGAGTAGCTGGGACTACAGGCACCCGCCACCACGACCGGCTAATTTTTTGTATTTTTAGTAGAGATGGAGTTTCACCGTGTTAGCCAGGATAGTCTCGATCTCCTGACCTCGTGATCCACCCGCCTCTGCCTCCCAAAGTGCTGGGATGACAGGCGTGAGCCACTGTACCCGGCATTTTTTTTCTTTTTTAGAACAGTCCATTTGTCCCTGGAAAGCTTCATATATATTTGTATATAATAATGTTGGAATTTCATTTATTTATTTATTTATTTTTTGAGACAAAATCTCACTCTTGTCGACCAGGCTGGAGTGCAGTGGTGTGATCTCGGCTCACGGCAACCTCCATCTCCCAGGTTCAAGCGATTCTCCTGCCTCAGCCTCCTGAGTAGCTGGGTTGACAGGCATCTGCAACAACGCCCAGATAATTTTTTTGTATCTTTTTTTCAGTAGAGATGGGGTTTCACCATGTTAGCCAGGATGGTCTTGATCTCCTGACCTCGTGATCCACCTGCCTTGGCCTCCCAACCCAAAGTGCTGGGATTACAGGCATCACCCACCGTGGTGGCCTTTTTTTTTTTTTTTTTTAGAACAGTCCATTTGTCCTTGGAAAGCTGCATATATATTTGTATATAATAATTTGGAATTTGATTTATTTATTTATTTATTTTTTGAGGCAAAATCTCTCTCTTGTCACCCAGGCTGGAGTACAGTGGTGTGATCTCCCGCCTCCCAGGTTCAAGCGATTCTCCTGCCTCGGTCTCCTGAGTAGGAGGTTTGTTACATGGGAATATTGTCTGATGTTCGGGTTTGGGGTACAAGTGATCCCCTCACCCTGATACTGAGCATAGTAACCAGGAGGTTGCCCTGCCCTGCCCTGCCTTGCCTTTCTTTTCTTTTTTTTCTTTCTTTCTTCTTCTTCTTTTTTGTTTTCTTTCTTTCTTCTTCTTCTTTTTTGTTTTTTTTTTTTTGAGACAGACTCTCACTTTGTTGCCCAGGCTGGAGTGCAGTGGTGGAATCTCAGCTCACTGCAACCTCCGGCTCCCGTGTTCGAGCAATCCTCACCCCTCAGCTTCCCAAGTAGCTGGGATTACAGGTGTGCACCAGCACACCTAGCTAATTAAAAAAAAAAAAATTGTAAAGATGACGTCTTGCCATGTTGCCGGTCTCAAGCTCTTGGGCTCAAACCTTCCACCTGCTACAGCCTCTTAAAGTGCTGGGATTACAGGTGTGAGCCACCTCACCCGGCCAAACACGCCAGACACTTTGCATTTGCTCAATAAGGCTTCGTGGCTATTTGAGGTTTTCAACCATAGCCTCCCTCCCTTCCTCCCTCCCTCCCTCTCTTCTGCTAGTCTCCCAGTTTCTGTTGTTCCCATGTTTATATCCACGTATATCCAACACTTAGCTCCCACTTATAAGTTGAGAACATGCAAGATTTGTTTCTGTGTTCCTGTGATAATGATCTTAGGATAATATTCTCCAGCTGCATCCAGGTTGCCACAAAGGACATGATTTCTTTCTTCCTTATAGCCTATTCCATGGCAAAGCTACATATTTCAAAGTACTTCAGTGATGTAATTCACACCAATACGTCAATAACGAGATAAATAAATAACCTAAGACATTTTTTTCAGTGTTTGCCGTCGGAGTAATGAGCGCACCCAATCTGGTTGTAATTTTTCTCTCCCAGTTTGCTGAGCAGAGAGGCCCAGATTTTTCCAATGTGACTTGGGGCAAATTAACCTGGCTGGTCAGCTCAAGAGACAGAGATTAAGCCGCACTACAGCCAGGTACTGTTTCCAAGAAACTCAAGACTCCTTCCTCTGGCCCTGTGCACAGAGACAGCTGAGGATAAGACACCACCTTTACTTTAAGGGCACAAGACGCGCAGAAATGAACAGGTAGCATTCCGTGGGAAGAAATATCCTCAGGACGTGTGTGTGTGTGTGTGTCTAAGTCTCCTGTGTGTGTATGCGTGTGTGTGTCTAAGTCTCGCTCTGTCGCCCAGGCTGGAGTGCAGTGGCACGATCTCGGCTCACTGCAACCTCCGCCTCATGGGTTCAAGTGATTCTCCTGCCTCAGCCTCCCGAGTAGCTGGATTGACAGGCACCTGCCACCACTCCCGGCTAATTTTTTGTATTTTTTTAATAGAGATGAGGTTTCACCGTGTTAGCCAGGATGGTCTCGATCTCCTGACTTCGTGATCCACCCGCCTCAGCCTCCCAAAGTGCTGGGATGACAGGCGTGAGCCACTGGCGCCTGGCCTATTTATTGATTTTTGAGACAGAGTCTTGCTCTCTCGCCTAGGCTGGAGTGCAGTGGAGCGATCTCGGCTCAGTGCAACCTCCGCCTCCTGGGTTCAAGCGATTCTCCTGCCTCAGCCTCCCAAGTAGCCGGGATGACAGGCGTCCACCACCGCGCCCGGCTAATTTTTATATTTTTCGTAGAGAAGGGGTTTCACCATGTAGGCCAGGCTGGTCTCGAACTCATGACCTCAGGTGATCTGCCCTCAGGGTACCCTCTGGACTTTTAAATAGCAGAATCCCCCTCAAAAAGCACCAGCCACTGTCTCTATAACTGGCCCACAGGGTCTCTTTGGGATGATTTTAAAACCCAGCACAACGAAGGGCCGGGCGAGGTAGCTCACTCCTGTAATCCCAGCACTTTGAGAGCCCAAGGCGGGTGGATCATCTGAGGTCAGGAGTTCAAGACCAGCCTAACCAACATGGTGAAACCCCGTCTCTACTGAAAATACAAAAATTAGCCTGGCGTGGTGGTGGGTGCCTGTGACCCCAGCTACTCGGGAGGCCGAGGCAGGAGAATCACTTGAACCTGGGAGGCGGAGGTTGCAGTGAGCCCAGATCGCACCACTGCAGTCCAGCCTGGTGACAGCAAGGCTTCATCTCAAAAGATAAATAAGTGAAGAAATAAATAAATGTAAAATAAAATAAAATAAAAACAGTAAAGGAGTGAAGCTCTGAGACAGGCTACAATGTTCATGAATCTGAAAAGATAGCATTCTGTGAAAAAAGGCAAGCCCCAAAAAAACCACAGATTGGGCCGGGCGTGGTGGCTCACGCCTGTAATCCCAGCACTTTGGGAGGCCGAGGTGGGCAGATCACTTGAGGTCAGTAGTTCGAGAACAGCCTGGCCAACATGGGGAAACTTCATCTCTATTAAAAATACAAAAATTAGCCTGGCGTGGTGGCTGGTGCCCGTCAACCCAGCTACTCAGGAGGCTGAGGCAGGAGAATCGCTTGAACCCGGGAGGCGGAGGTTGCACTGAGCCAAGATCGTGCCACTGCACTCCAGCCTGGGTGAGAGACCAAGACTCCATCTCAAAAATAAATAAATAGGCCAGGTGCAGTGGCTCACACCTGTAATCCCAGCACTTTGGGAGTCCGAGGTGGGTGTATCACGAGGTCAGGAGATCAAGACCGACCTGGCCAACATGGTGAAACCCCATCTCTACTAAAAAAACAAATACAAAATATTAGCCGGGCGTGGTGGCAGGTGCCTGTCAACCCAGCTACTCAGGAGGCTGAGGCAGGAGAATTGCTTGAACCCAGGAGGTGGAGCTTGCACTGAGCCGAGATTGTGCCACTGCACTCCAGCTTGGGCGAGAAAGTGAGACTCCATCTCAAAAATGAATAAATAGGCCAGGTATGGTGGCTTACGCCTGTCATCCCAGCACTTTGGGAGGCCGAGGCAGATGGATCACGAGTTCAGGAGATCGAGACCATCCTGGCTAACATGGTGAAACCCCATCTCCACTAAAAAAAAAAATACAAAAAATTAGCCTGGTGTGGTGGCACGTGCCTGTAGTCCCAGCTACTTGGGAGGCTGAGGCAGGAGAATGGCTTGAACCTGGGAGGTGGAGGTTGCAGTGAGCCGAGATCGCGCCACTGCACTACAGCCTGGGCAAGAGAATGAGACTCCGTCTCAAAAATAAATAAATAACAATAAATAATTAATAAACACAGTGGAGATTCCAAACCCGCCAAGACTAGGCTGTTCCTCCTCGGGGAACATGTGGGCAGAGGCTGAACTGGGAAGGCCCCAAGACGTTGCAGGGTGAGTAATTTCCGAGCGTGCAATTATAAAGAACCGGAGTGCAACAGCTCCCCAAGGCACCCCCGGATTCCTGCAGCATGCACGTAATTGCAGCCAGACAGTAACCTCGCTGTGGCCTGTGTCCCAGCCCTAACCCTGCACCCCGCTTGGCACTCCCACATATGGGACAATTTTCCCAGCTGATTGCTGGAAACTGATGAAGGGAAGTTATGTGGCCTCTTGTGACGGGCGGCCCCACAGCTGCTCTGGTTGGAGAGAGAGAGAGAGAGAGAGAGAGAGAGAGAGAGAGACAGGGGAGAGAGAGAGAGTGGGGGAGAGAGATAGAGACAGGGAAGAGAGAGAGACAGAGAGGGGAGAGAGAGGGGGGCAGAGATATAGAGACAGGGAAGAGAGAGAGAGAGAGACAGAGAGGGGAGAGAGAGAGAGATGGGGGGAGAGAGGGAGACAGAGGGGGAAAGAGAGAGGGGAGAGAGAGAAAGGGGGGAGAGAAAGAGACAGAGGGGAGAGGGGGGAGAGAGACAGAGGGGGGAGAGAGAGAGACAGAGGGGGGAGAGAGAGAGACGGGAGAGGGAGGGGAGAGAGAGAGACGGGAGAGGGAGGGGAGAGAGAGAGAGACACAGACAGAGAGATAGGGGAGAGAGAGACGGGAGAGAGGGAGGAGAGAGAGAGACAGAGACAGGGAGAGAGAGAGAGAGAGGAGAGAGACAGAAAGGGGAGAGAGAGAGAGGGGAGAGAGAGACAGAGAGGAGAGAGAGAGACAGAGAGAGAGAGACAGGGGAGAGAGAGGGGGGAGAGAGACACAGAGAGAGACAGCTCTCCTGGAAGATATTTTCTCTCTGTTCCAATTCCAGGGCATCTTTTGGAAGAAAAGGGATGACACTGGTGGTTTTGCGGAAGGTCAGTGCCAGAGTTGAGGAAGATGTCATTTTGGCAACTCATTGTCGAGTTCTCCAAAAATCAGGGAGGTGGGGAGCTGGAGTCAGGGAGGGAGGAGAGGAGGAAGCACCAGCCACCCACAGTGGGAAGGATCTCTCCTGTCTTCCTCTCCATCTGCCTCACCGTGACCCCATCCCTTGACTTTGTCTTTGCAGAGGGGCATTCTGCCTTTGTCCACAGCTGTTTCTCTCTTTCTTTTCTTGAGAGACAATCTTGCTCCGTCACCCAGACTGGAGTGCAATGGAGCAATCATAGCTCACTGCAACCTCACGCTGCTGGACTCAAGCCATCCTCCCACCTCAGCCTCCCAAGTAGCTGGGACCACAGGAGCGTGCCACCATGCCCTGTTAATTTTTAAACATGTTTTGGAGAGAGGGGGTCTCACTATGTTTCCCAGAGCACCACCATGCACCATTAATTTAAAAAAAAAATTGCAGAGATGGGGTCTTGCTATGTTGCCCAGGCTGGTCTCAAACTCCTGGGCTCAAGCAACCCTCTCATCTCAGCCTCCCAAGTGGCTGGGACCACAGGAACACACCACCATGTCCCATTCATTAAAAAAAAAATCGGGGCCGGGCACAGTGGCTCACGCCTGTAATCACAGCAGTTTGGGAGGCCGAGGTGGGCGGATCACGGGGTCAGGAGTTCGAGACCATCTTGGCTAACACGGTGGGACCCCGTCTCTCCTAAAAATACAATTAGCCGGGTGTGGTGGTGGACAGCTGTAGTCCCAGCTACTGGGGAGGCTGAGGCAGGAGAATGGCATAAACCCGAGAGGTGGAGCTTGCAGTGAGCTGAGATCACGCCACTGCCCTCCAGCCTGGGTGACAGAGCAAGACTCCGTCTCAAAAAAAAGAAAAAAAATTTTGGAGAGATGGGGCCTCACTGTATTGCCCAGGCTGGTCTCAAACTCCTGGGCTCCAGTGATCCTTCTACCTTTATTTTATGGAGAGAAATATTCAATTTTTACATAGTGCTTTTGTTTTAAAATGCAGCTTGACCCTCAGACAATGAGAGGCAGGCATTTTACAGAAGAGACATCAGAACTTTCTAGAAGGTGGGTGATTTTTCAGTGAGTATTCAGAGAATAAGTTGCAAAACAGAGGAAATGGCAACTTCTGAGCCTAAATTCAAGGGTTGGCCGAGCACAGTGGCTCACACCTGTCATCCCAACACTTTGGGAGGCCAAGGCAGACATATCACCTGGGGTCAGGAGTTCAAGACGAGGCTGACCAACACGGTGAAAACCTATCTCTACTAAAAATACCAAAATTAGCCAGGCATGGTGGTGGTGCCTGTAGTCACAGCTACTCAGGAGGTTAAGGCATGAGAATCACCTGAACCTGGGAGGCAGAGGTTGCAGTGAGCCGAGATTGTGCCACTGCACTCCAGCCTGGGAGACAGAGTGAGACTCCATCTCCAATACATACATACATATATACATAAAATTAAGAGTTGTTCAGCCATGCTGTCCCCGGTCCCCAAACTCTTAACTTTTAGCGTTTCATAGAAAGTGCTAGGATTTACAAGGATGCCACTACCCTCGGCAGCCCACTAAGATGAAAGTGAGATGCCACCTGTGATGGTCATTGGAGCACCTTGCCACCCTCCTCAATGGGCACCGGTGAGGAGGGTGACAGGTGCTTGGAGTTCCTGTGGGTTCCGGGATTCCAAACTGTCACAGCGATAACCCAGGGTCGATGGTTTCCTGAGGAGTTTGGCAAACCTCAGCCCTTGGATTCATTCCTCAACATTCGTGAAGCAAAACAGACTTTTCAAATCATGTTTAAAACAATTAGCGTGTTTACCCAAACAAAGGTTAAGCCTGCAAAGGAAAAGCGTCTGTAAATGCGATCAAGCATTGCAGCTTTTACAGTTTTCCATGAATCCTTCAAAGCTCATCTTCTTCTTCTTCTTTTTTTTTTTTTTTTGAGATGGAGACTCGCTCTGTCGCCCAGGCTGGAGTGCAATGGCGTGATCTCAGCTCACCGCAAGCTCCGCCTCCCGGGTTCAAGCAGTTCTCCTGCCTCAGCCTCCCGAGTAGCTGGGATTACAGGCACCTGCCACCACCCCCGGCTAATTTTTTGTATCTTTAGTAAAGATGGGGTTTCACCATGTTGGCCAGGCTGGTGTTGAACTCCTGACCTCAGGCGATCCACCTGCTTCGGCCTCCCAAAGTGCTGGGATTACAGATGTAAGGCACCGGCGCCCAGCCTCAAAGCTCATCTTCTAAGGCATGCAGAAACTCAGTCAGCTCCACAGATCTGAGGTCTAAATGAGCAGTGCAACCTTGCTTATGGAGACTCGGGTAGGCAGGGAGAACAGAGTCTTGGCCCAGGCCACCAAGGAGGAGGCAAGATGCCAGATGGAGAAGGGGTTGCCCCAAGCCCCAGGTTGACATGGAAGTTGGGAACAGCCAAGCAGAGAATCTCAGGATCTCCATGGAGGCTAAGAACCTTTCATTGGAGATTCAACTTTTGCAATAAGCAGTGCTGGGTTACATAAGTGCCTAATTAAGACCCTTGGAACTAATTATATAGGACAGAGAGGAGGTGATGGTGAAGACGTGAGATTCTAAGCTGTGATGATACTTACCACATGAGAGAATCAAGACCCACCGATGAACTCCTGGTAGTAGAGAGAGGATAGGCAGATAGACAGCTAGCTAGACAGATAGATAGATGACAGATAGATAATTGATACATAGATTGTAGATTCAATAGATAAATACACAGAGAATACACTAAATAGATGAATGGATAGATGGATGAATGGATAGACACAGACATAGATAGATAGATAGATAGGTGGTCTTCATGTAAAGACAAGGTGTTTCTTCTGGAAGATTCATCAGGAAGGTGCCATCTTGGAGGCAAAGAAGAGCCCTCATCAGGGCTGTTTATCTATCCACCTACCTATCTATCAATATCTATTGATAGGTAGGTGGATAGATAGATACATAGATGATTGATAGATGATAGATGATGAATATATAGATAGATGATAGATGATTGATAGTTGATAGATGATTGATAGATGATTGATAGTTGATAGATGATTGATAGATGATAGATGTTAGATACATAGATGATAGATTGATGATAGGTAGATGATAGATGAATATATAGATAAATGATAGATGATTGATAAAAAGATGATAGATGTTAGATATATAGATAGATAGATAGTAGATAGATCAATTGATTGATAGATGATAGATAGGTAATAGACAGATAGGAACTCTCCAGTCAGCCTAGACTTAGCTAGTCAAGGTCCCATCTGTGGAGTTTCCAGGTGAACGTCATCTCTATTAGCCATTGAGCCCACGTAAATCATGTATCTGCATCTGCCTGGATTTGTTTTCACTGCTAGAACAGAGTCCCTAAGACTGTGTGGTTTATAAAGAGCAGAGACTTATTTACTCCTGGTTCTGGAGGAGGAGAAGTCCAAGATGGAGGCACCAGCAGATTCCATATCTGATGAGGGCTGTTCTTTGACTCCAAGATGGCACATTCCTGCTGAATCTTCCAGAAGGAAGAAACCCCTTGTCCTTACATGAAGACCAAGGCACCAGAAGATTCCATATCTGATGAGGGCTGTTCTTTGCCTCCAAGATGGCACCTTCCTGATGAATCTTCCAGAAGGAAGAAACACATTGTCTTTACATGAAGATCAAGGCACCAGCAGATTCCATATCTGATGAGGGCTGTTCTTTGACTCCAAGATGGCGCCTTCCTGATGAATATTCCAGAAGGAAGAAACACCTTGTCCTTACATGAAGACCAAGGCACCAGCAGATTCTATATCTGATGAGTGCTGTTCTCTGCCTCCAAGATGGCACCTTCCTGCTAAATCTTCCAGAAGGAAGACACACCTTGTCCTTACATGGTAAAGGTGGAAGGCCAAGGGAACTGAATGTTACAGGAAGCCTGTCTCTTTCTTTCTTTCTTTCTTTCTTTCTTTCTTTCTTTCTTTCTTTCTTTCTTTCTCTCTCTCTCTCTCTCTCTTTCTTTCTTTTTCTTTCTTTCTTACTCTCTTTTTTTCGAGAAGGAGTCTTGCTCTATCGCCCAGGCTGGAGCACAGTGGTGTGACCTTGGCTCACTGCAACCTCCACCTCCCGGGTTGAAACAATTCTTCTGCCTCAGCCTCCTGAGTAGCTGGGATTACAGGTGCCTGCCACCACACCCGGCTAATTTTTGTATTTTTAGCAGAGACGGGGTTTCACCATGTTGGCCAGGCTGATCTTGAACTCCTGACCTCATGATCCACCCGCCTCAGCCTCCCAAAATGCTGGGATTACAGGCATGAGCCACCGTGTCCGGCCAGGAAGCCTCTTTCCTAAGGACCTTAAGCCCATTCATGAGAAAGATGCCACCATGGCCTGATCACCCCTTTTTTAATTCATGTTATGTTATGTTATTTTGTTTTTGTTTTTTATTTTTTTGACACAAGGTCTGGCTATATCACCCAGGCTGGAGTGAAGTGGTATCATCTCAGCTTACTACAACCTCTGTCTACTGGGCTCAAACGATCTTCCCACCTCAGCCTCCCAGGTAGCTAGGACTACACGCATGCACCACCATGCCCAGCTCACTTTTGTACTTTTTATAGAGACAGGGGGTTCATCATGTTGCCCAGGCTGGTCTCAAACTCATGAGCTCAGGCAATCTTGCTTCCTCCAACTCCCAAAGTCCTGGGATTACAGGCCTGAGCCACTGTGCTGCCCCTCTTTTTTTTTTAGTTTTAATTTAATTTTTATTTATTTTTTATGTATTTATTTATTATTATTATTTTGAGACGAAGTCTTGCTCTGTTGCCCAGGCTTGAGTGCATTGGCATGATCTCGGCTCACTGCAACCTCCACCTCCTGGGTTCAAGCAATTCTCCTGCCTCAGCCTCCCAGTAGCTAGGATTACAGGCACTTGCCACTACGCCCGGCTAATTTTTGTATTTTTAGTAGAGACAGGGTTTCACTACGTTGGTCAGGCTGGTCTCGAACTTCTGAGCTTAGGCAATCTGTCTGCCTCTGCCTCCCAAAGTCCTGGGATTACAGTCCTGAGCCACTGTGCAGCTCCTCTTTTTTTATTTTAATTTTTATTTATTTTTTATGTATGTATTTATTTATTTTTTTGAGACAAAGTCTCACTCTGTTGCCCAGGCTGGAGTGCAGTGGCATGATCTCGGCTCACTGCAACCTCTGCCTCCCAGGTTCAAGCTAGTCTCCTGCCTCAGCCTCCTGAGTAGCTGGGACTACAGGCGCCCACCACCACGCCTGGCTAATTTTTGTATTTTTAGTAGAGACGGGTTTCACCACATTGGTCAGGCTGGTCTTGAACTTCTGACCTCTGGTGATGTGCCCGCCTCAGCCTCCCAAAATGCTGGGATGACAGGTGTGAGTCACCGCACCTGGCCTCTTTGCTTTTCTTAAGTGACTCCATGGGGGACCCATGCAGCCAGCAGCATCTCGGCTTTTTCTCCCTGGAAGGTGTCTGCAGGAAACCAGCATCCCAGTTAACTTCAGACGCGAGAGTGTTGATTATACACTCAAGGCCCCACATTAGGGAAGTTTGTGAGTCACAGCCCCACACTGGGTCTCCCAGGGATCAACAAGATCCACAAACCAGCATGGTTAGGACAAGTGGTTTTACAGTCCTTTTTTTTTTTTTTTTTTGTGAGATGGAGTCTTGCTCTGTCGCCCAGGCTGGAGTGCAGTGGCGCGATCTCGGCTCACTGCAACCTCCACCTCCTGGGTTCATGCCATTCTCCTGCCTCAGCCTCCTGAATAGCTGGGACTACAGGCTCCCACCACCACGCCCGCCTAATGTTTTTTTGTATTTTAGCAGAGACAGGGTTTCACTGTGTTAGTCAGGATGGTCTCGATCTCCTGACCTCATGATCTGCCCGCCTCGGCCTCCCAAAGTGCTGGGATTACAGGCGTGAGCCACTGTGTCGCCCTTTTTTTTCCTTCTTTTTAATTCCTTTTTTTGAGACGGAGTCTCGCTCTGTCGCCCAGGCTGGAGTGCAGTGGCACGATCTTGGCTGACTGCAACCTCCGCCTCCCGGATTCACTCCATTCTCCTGCCTCAGCCTCCTGAGTAGCTGGGACTATAGGTGCCCGCCACCACGCCTGGCTATTTTTTTTTTTTTTTTTTTTTAGTATTTTAGTAGAGATGGGGCTTCACCCTGTTAGCCAGGATGGTCTCTATCTCCTGACCTTGTGATCCGTCCGCCTCGGCCTCCCAAAGGGCTGGGATTACAGGCATGAGCCACCGCGCCCGGCCCCTTACAGTCCTTTTTAACTCACTTCTAGAAGAAACCATCTCAGCCACTTTTACACATCTGCAGCTGAGACAAGTGTGGGGCACAGGTTTCCCTGGTGACCCAGGGAAGGGATCAAATTGCTGTGTCCACTTTGCAACACCAGCATCTACCAGGTACTGCGAGGCAGAAGCTCAAAACCATGCATGACTTTCCTTGGCTTTTTTTTTTTTTAATAAACCTCTGTTCAAAAATAAACTTAACACGTTTTTCTGAGCAGCCTGAACCTGTTCCCAATTTCTTGTCCACACAATAAAAAATATACAAGTGCATTATTTTAAGGGTGACTCTAGCTGACCTTTCTGTGGGGAGAAAAACGGCACCTGCCTGGAGCCAGAAGCGTGTTCGGAGAGTTTGATGGCGTTTGATGTTAAGGCAGGGGCCACCTGGGTCGGCCTGTCATCGAATGACGTTTTCACACCAGTCCCCAAAACAGGAGATCTGGAAAATCTGACATCCAAGGTTTTAGATCTTGGCTTAGAAAAACAGACATTCCAAGATGCCTGAAGTGTTTAAGTGGCTATTGCTAATTGGATAGTGTTGACTGTGGAAGTAATGGATCCCAAATTGAAATGGGAGATTAGATGATTAGACGTATTCTCCAGATGCTTACAAACACAATTATGTGTGTGCGTGTGTGTGTGGAGAGAGAGAGAGAGAAAGGTATATAGACAGACTGGGCGCGGTGGCTCACGCCACTAATCCCAGCACTTTGGGAGGCCGAGGCGGGCAGATCACCTGAGGTCAGGAGTTTGAGACAAGCCTGGACAACATGATGAAAACCCGTCTCTACTAAAAATACAAAAATTGGCTGGGCGTGGTGGTCTGTAAAAAATTGACTGGGCCTGTAGTCCCAGCTACTCGGGAGGCTGAGGCAAGAGAATCACTTGAACCCGGGAGGTGGAGGTTGCAGTGAGCTGAGATCGTGCCACTGCATTCCAGCTTGGGTGGCAGAATAATACTGTCTCAAAAAAAGCAAAAAAGGATATATAGATAGACAATAGACATATTCTATTACAGATGGAAAGAAATAAACTAAATAGGTTAAACTAGATAGAAATAGATAACTGTTAGAACGAGATAGATGGTAGGTATATAATTAATAGAAAAGACATAAATTAGGACAATTAAATGATAGACCTAGGTAAATACATAAATGATAGATAGATAACAGATATATTATTAATACATAGGAATAGGTGAGTTAAATTACATAAATGATAGAGATAGGTAGATAAATATATGACAGATATATAGAGAGATAACTGGATAGATGCATAGATGATAGAGAGCTAGATAGGCAGATAATGGAGGGATGATAGGCAAATAGATACAGGGATAGATGATAGGTAGACAACTGATACATAGATTATAGATTTGATACATAAATATATAGATAAATGGATGGATAATAGAGGATGGATATATAGTAGATGATAAATAGTAGAGAGCTGATAGGTAGATAGATAGACAGCTAGCTAGCTAGGCGGATAGATGATAGGTAGAGGGATAATTGATACATAGATTATAGATTCAATAGATAAATACATATATAGATAGATGGATAGATGGATGGATAATAGATAGATGATGGATATATAGTAGACTATAGATAGTAGAGAGATGGTAGGTGGATAGACAGCTAGCTAGCTAGATGGAGAGATGATAGGTAGATAAGTGATACATAGATTATAGATTCAACAGATAATGCATTAGATAGATAGGTGGATAGATGGCTACAGGGATAGATGATAGGTAGATAGATAATTGATACATAGGTTACAGATTCAATAGATAAGTGCATATATAGATAGATGGATAGATGGATGGATAATAGATAGATGATGGATATATAGTAGACGATAGATACTAGGGAGATGATAGGTAGACAGCTAGCTAGACGGATAGATGATAGGTAGATAATTGATACATAGATTATAGATTCAATAGATAAATAGATAATACATTAGATGGATAGATAGATCAATAGGTAGGTAGGTAGATAGCTACAGGGATAGGTGATAGATAATTGATACATAGGTTATAGATTCAATACATAAATACATATATAGATAGATGGATAGATTGATGGATGGATGATAGAGGATGGATATATAGTAGATGATAGATAGATAGTAGAGAGATGATAGGTAGATAGATGGCTAGCTAGCCAGACAGATAGATGATAGGTAGATAATTGATACATAGATTATAGATTCAATAGATAAATACATAGATTAGATAATACATTAGATAGATAGGTAGGTAAGTTGATAGATAGCTACTGGGATAGAAGATAGGTAGATAGATAATTGATACACAGATTATAGATTCAATAGATAAATACATATATAGATACATGGATAGATGGATGGATGCATAGATGGATGGATGATAGATACATGATGGATATATAGTAGATGATAGTAGAGAGATGATAGGTAGATAGACGGCTAGCTAGCCAAACAGTTAGATGATAAGTAGATAATTGATACATAGATTATAGATTCAATAGAGAAATACATAGATTAGATAATACATTAGATAGGTAGATAGGTAAGTTGATAGCTACAGGGATAGATGATAGGTAGATAATTGATACATACGTTATAGATTCAATAGATAAATACATATATAGATGGATAGATGGATGGATGCATAGATGGATGGATGATAGATGATGGATATATAGTAGATGATAGATAGATAGTAGAGAGATGATAGGTAGATAGACAGCTAGCTAGCCAGACAGATAGATGATAGGTAGATAGTTGATACATAGGTTATAGATTCAATAGATAAATACATAGATAGATAATACATTAGATGGATGGATAGATAGATGTATAGATAGATAGCTGGATAGAGAGATAGCTACAGGGATAGATGATAGGTAGATAGATAATTGATACATAGATTATAGATTCAATAGATAAATACATAGATTACATAATACATTAGATGGATAGATAGGTAGATAGGTAAGTCGATAGATAGCTACAGGGATAGATGATAGGTAGATATACAATTGATACATAGATTATAGATTCAATAGATAAATACATATATAGATGGATAGATGGATGGATGGATGATAGATGATGGATATATAGTAGATGATAGATGATTGATAGATAGATGATAGATGTTAGATAGATTATATATAAATAGATCAATAGGTCGATAGATGATAGATGGGTAATAGATAGACAGAAACTCCCCAGTCTGCCTAAGATATTTTCTGTTATTTTATAAGACATAACCCTCATGAGTTCTTTTGTATCTGCTGCTGCTGTTATTCTGAAAATAGTGTAAAGTTTTGGAGTTTCAGGTACAAGAGGACCCTGCAGATATCAGCCACCTGCTTTTCCCTCCCTTCCTGGGGATGTTCGGTTCTGCCTAACACGCACTCTCTGGTACATCCCTGTGGGTCTCAGAGCCGCCCCCTCCTTGTCTGCAAAGAGGGAGGTGCGGTACCCACTCCGGGGACCCCCTTCATCCTTGGGGCACTCAGCGTGTGAGTCAGCTTGGCCTTCTCCTTCACAGACAAGTGTCATTGTCACAAGAGAGCGTGGGCCATTCAGAGGACTCTCACCCTCATGAGGCTGGCATTGCGTGTCACCGCGTTGGAGCCAGAGGCAACCTCAAA
This sequence comes from Homo sapiens, assembly GCF_000001405.40. Lineage (NCBI taxonomy): Eukaryota > Metazoa > Chordata > Mammalia > Primates > Hominidae > Homo > Homo sapiens. The sequence goes on along the minus strand of NC_000021.9, from coordinate 10,368,544 downwards.
ACGCATGGGCCCTGCTTCCCTCTTCTCAGAAATGAGGAGAACCTCTGGTAGAGATGACTTTTGGGGGCTCGTGGGGTCGGTGCAGAGGGGGTGTCTGGGGCCGAGCTGGGACCCGGCTCTCAGGAGCCTCTTTACACTTCAGGTTGTCTGTGCCCGAGCAGATCCTGGGCTGTTGAATCATGGTAGGCAAACCACAGAACGATCTTTTGGGGTGAAACCTCAGGCTCTGTTCACTCACTGGCATCGTCAAATCACACCTGCAAAGAGCTGACAAACTATTCCCTAAGCACAGAAATCCTCATGCTTATTTGCGGCCATTCCGAGCCCTGCAGGTGGCTAGGGAGAGAGCCATAAGGTATTTCTTGTGGCGGGGGCGGGGGGCCCTCTCTGGCATTCCCAGGGCTGCCCCCAGGACCTGGAATCAAGCAGGAGAAAGAAGGACATAACCGAGAGAAGGCTTCCTCTCCGTGAGGCCGTGGAGTCCGGCCCTGGCGGAAAATAAACTTCTTAATACGATTGAGATCAACAGACAGGGCTTTTCTCTGTGATACATTTAAGCAAATTGAATGCAATTACCTCAATTGAATTCAGAGCAAGGCCTGCCCTGACCTTCCCTGAAGCGTTCTGCCCACTTGGAGAGCAGGCTGGGGCACACATGACATCATCTGGACAATTTGCACATATTTATACAATTTGTCATGATGCGGTCTGCACAGGCTAGAGGCTGCGAGGTTTGCCTCCAGCACCGCTGTGAAATCAGGCCTGTGAAAATCACGTGCTGGACATATCTCTTGTGTGTGCTATTTACTTCGAATTCAAGTGTACCTAGTCACTAGTGGGGGGAGTGGGGTGGATGTGTCTGTGTGTGTGTGTGTGTGTGTGTGTGTGGCGGGCAGAAGATGCAAATCCGTTGATACAAATCAACAAGCAATATTATGGTATAAGGGAGGGAAATAAAGCCAGCAGGTGCTATAATACATGTCAAAAAAAAATCTGTTTTATGCTTATGCCACTGTAAGACAACAGACAGCTGTGTAGAGGTGTGGCTTCAGCGACTGCCGAGGAAGGGTTATTTGTGGGTACAGCCATGGGATGTCAGAGGTGTCTCTATTCTGACCTCAGGCACTGAGGTCCTGCCCACGAATGGCGTGGTAGTGTGGGGAATATCCGAAGGAAAACAGAGAGGTGTCTGGATGATCTGTTTTGTTGCAGGAAGCAAACCAGCATGATGCAGGCAGCCTGAACTGAGAAAAGGAGGTTTCCGGATTTCCAAAGACACACTGAGTTCGCTGACATGTATCAGGGAGAAAAGCTCATTCAGAGATCTCCGCTGTATTACAAATTTTAATTTCTCCTGGCGTGGGAGTTCACAGCAGCCTTATGGAGGGAAATTCCTCCAAGCCTGCGTGTCATAAACTGAACTACAGGGTTTAGGGTCCTCAGGCTGCCCAGGGATGCTGGAGGTCCACAGGTCAACTGCAGGGAGATGGATTCCCCAAATGAGCAAGAGGGTTCTGATGCTCAGGAAATAGATTAGTAGCTCCAGGCAGGTGTGGCTTCATGACCGTAAGGAAATGGAAGCAAAGAGTTGTTGGGCATGTAGAACTTTCATTTCTTGCACATTTATTCAGAGACAGAGCATATGCATTTTTGGTAGAAAATTCAATATTGCTGTTGATCTCAAATTCAAGTGTAGCTGGGCACACATGCATACAGCTGTTAACCTTGAATTCAAGCGTACCTGGGCTGCTGTTTACTTTGAATTCAAGTGTATCTGGGCATGCATGCATACTGCTGTTCACCTCGAATTCAAGTGTAGCTGAGCACACATCTGTTCTCCTGTTTATCTCGAATTCAAGTGTTATCTGGGCATGCCTCGTGCTGCTGTTCACCTTGAAATCAAGTGTACCTGAGCACGCATCTGTTCTGCTGTTTATCTCGAATTCAAGTGTATCTGGGCATGCATCGTGCTGATGTTTACCTCGAACTCAAGTGTAGCTGGGCACACATCGTGCTGCCGTTCACCTTGAATTCAAGTGTACCTGAGCATGCATCCATACTGCTGTTTATCTCAAATTCAAGTGTACATGGGCACGCATCTTTTCTGCTGTTTATCTCGAATTCAAGTGTAGCTGGGCACGCATGCATACTGCTGTTCACCTCGAATTCAAGTGTACCTGAGCACGCATCTGTTTTGCTGTTTATCTCCAACTCAAATGTACCTGAGCATGCATCTGTTCTGCTGTTTACCTCGAATTCCACTGTACCTGGGTAGGCATGCCATACTTTTATTGGTTAACTAGAGCAATTTGTAAAGCAAACTATCATCATTTTCCCCAAGTTGTAACCCTTGGCAAATCATTTCCCCGAAGTTTCAACTTTGTTGAAATGGAAGCTAAGAAATTCCACACAATGTATATATTCCTGGTAAAGTTTGCCCAGTACCTGAGCCAACACCTAGGGAGGTAAGAGCAGACAGTGGAGGTTGGGGTACAGACAGATTTGGGTGACCCAGACCAAATCTGATCTTCTAGAACCAACAAATCCCACAGAGACAGGACAAATTGGCCTGTTTGGGGCCAGCATCCTGCGGGATCCCAGACGCTTATGTTATGTGTATTTTAACACAATTTTAAAAATTGGAAAATAAAACAAAACACCTAGAGCCATGATCTCTAAGGCCATGTGTGTTCTGCACCTATTACTTCTCACTCACTCCATTCCAGCCCCACTGGCCTTTTTCTGGCTCCTCAGACATGCCAAGCACTCCCTGCCTCAGGGCCTTTGCAGTGTCTGTTGCCCTCACGTGGAATGCTCTTCCCACAGATCTCTCTATGACTCTCTCTCTGTCACTTGCTCTGCTCTAATGTCTCTTTTTCAGTGAGGCCTTTCCTGATCACCCTACAGAAAAGCACCCAGCAATATTCTCTATTCCTTTTCCTTGCCTTGTCTTGGTAGCACTTGCTCCTTGCTGACATATAGAAAGAATATGTGTTTATGCAATGGTGAATGTGATGACCACAGATTTTTCCCCAGCCCTGTTCTAGGCAGAGACTGGGAAATGGGTCATTCCTGTCCCCTATTCCAATTCTCTCCTTCTATAATGGCTTATTTTCCTTTTTAATGTTCTAACCTAATGTCGAGCAATTTCAGTTGATTTTTTCATAAGCTGGAAGGTCCATGAAATCTCTTTCTATGGCCATTATTTTCTCAAACACTGCAGTGTCTTTTTTCAGTGTTTTCCATATATAATGATATTCCTAGGAATATCTCCTTGGCCTTCCTATCTAAGTTCACCCAATGTGGTGTTCTTCATATTTCAAGTAAATTCAATACTGCCTTCATAATTGTTGGCACCTTTAAACTTTTATTGTCCCTGATAGGTAGGTGCTCATCTTATTGGTTAAATGAATGATTTTGGCAATTTCGCTTTTTAAATTATTTTTATTTTTATTTTGAGACAGGGTCTCAGTCTGTTACCCAGGCTGGAGTGCAGTGACGTGATCTCAGCTCACTGCAGCCTCGACATCCCAGACTCAAGCAATCTTCCCACCTCAGCCTCCCAAGTAGTTGGGATTACAGACATGTGCCACAGCACTCCACTAATTTTTTTCTATTTTTGTAGAGACAGGATCTTGTTATGTTTCCCAGGCTGGTCTGTAACTCATACACTCAAGTAATCAGCCCATCTGGGTCTCCCAAAGTGCTGGGATTACAGGCTTCAGCCACAATGCCCAGCCTAAAATGTCTTTTTGATAGAGTGATTTTGAAGATTAAGCAGGCTAGTGGGTCAAGCACGTAGTACAACATTTGAAGCCCAAAGGCAGGGAGTGTGAGCCCCAGGTGGTGGTGGGGGGGATGAAAGGAGAAGCAGGAGGCAATGGGGAATGAGACACTTGAGACTGGAACTCAGGGCTCTTCAGAGAGAGAAGCTTCCAGGTCCTGGAGAAGGGGCAAGGCCCATGCGAGTCCCCTGAACGCTCAAAAGGAAGGGCCAGGTTTCCCTGACACAGAGGGCTCCGTGGTCTCCTCCCCTCCTTTTCACCTCAGGAGGGAGGGAAAGAGGGGAAGAGAAGGTCCTGCAGAGGAGGCAGGATGGCCGGTTGAGGGGGGCCTTGGGCGCTTTTTCCCAAGGGCTGCCTCTGCGGCTGCCCCAGGGGCTTCCTTGAACAAGAATTCCCTGCTCTCCCGCTGAGAGCCAGGGTGGGTCCTCTGTCCCTCACCATGAAGTTCAATGAGTATTGGAGAGTCCGCATGAGGTGAAGGGGCTTCAGCCCAACCACTGGTCCCTGCTGCACTCACTCCTCAAAAAGGACCACCAGCTGCCTGATGGTGAGCATGGAGCAGGTCTGAGTGGACCAGACTAGGGCCAAGAAACACACCAAAATTGAAACACAAAGAAATACAAAACATGAACAGACCAATAACAAATAATGAGAACAAAGCTGTAATAAAAAGTCTCCCAGAAAAGAAAAGCCCCAATATTCTATGGCTTCACTACTGAATTCTAACAAATATTTAAAGAACTAACACCAATCCTACTGAAACTATTCCACAAAATACAGATGGGGAATACTTCCAAACTCATTCTATAACACCAGAATTACCTTTATACCAAAATCAAAGACACTTTAAAAAAAGAAAACTACAATATCTCCAATTAATATTGATGCAAAAATCCTCAACAAAATGCTAGCAAACCTTTAAGCAATATATTAAAAATATCATTCTTCATGATCATGTGTGATTTATCACAAGGATGCAAGAATGGTTGCAAATCAATCCAAATGATACATCACATCACCAAAATGAAGGAAAAGATTATATAATCATTTAAATTAAGACATTTTAAAAAAGCATTTGATAAAATTCAACATCCCATCATGATTAAAAACCCTCAGAAACCTGGGTAGAGAAAGAACATTATTAACATAATGAAAGCCATATATGACATACCCACAGCTAGTATCATACTGACAAGGGAAACACTGAAATCCCCTTCTCTAAGATCTGGAACATGACCAGGATGCCCACTTTCACCACTGTTATTCTCCATAGTACTGGAAGTCCTAGCAAAAGCAATCAGACAAGAGAGAGAAATAAAGGGCATCTAAAGGGAAGAAGACAAATTATCTTTGTTTTGCAGATGATATAATCTTATATTTGTAAAAAACCTGAAGACTCCACAAAAACTACTAGAACTGATAAATTCAGTAGAGTTTCAGGATACAAATCAATATATAAAAATCAGTATCTTTTTTTTTTTTTTTTTGAGACAGAGTCTCACTTTGTCTCCCAGGCTGGAGTGCAGTGGTGCAATCTTGGCTCACTGCAAGCTCTGCCTCCTGGGTTCACACCATTCTCCTGCCTCAGCCTCCCGAGGAGCTGGGGCTACAGGCACCCACCATCACGCCTGGCTAACTTTTTTTGTATTTTTAGTAGAGACGGGGTTTCATCGTGTTAGCCAGTATGGTCTTGATCTCCTGACCTCGTGATCTGCCCACCTCACCTTCCCAAAGTCCTGGGATTACAGGCGTGAGCCACCGCGCCCGGCAGGAATCAGTAACATTTCTATATGCCAAGAGTGAACAATCTGAAAAAGAATTTAAAAAGAAATACCATTTATCATAGCCACAAATAGAACTAAATACATAGAAATCAACCAAAGAAGTAAAGGATTTCTACAACAAAAACTATAACACAATCATAAGATAAATTGAAGACACAAAAATTGAAAGATATTCCATGTTCATGGATTGATAGTGTTAGTATATTAAAATGTCTATATTACCCAAAGCAATTCACAGATTAAATGCAGGAATCACATTAACTGACTTCAAATTATATTACAAAGCTATAGTAACTGTAGCAGCCTGGTACTGGCATAAAAATAGACACATAAACCAATGGAATTGAACAGATAACCCAGAAAAAAATTTTACACATTTTCACTGAACTCATTTTCAACAAAGGTGCCAAGAACTTAAATTAGGGAAAAGACAATCTCTTCAATAAATCATGCTTGGAAACTGGATATCTACATGCAAAAGAATGAAATTATAACCCCAACTCTTGCCATATACAAAAGTCGAATCAAAACGGATTAAATACTTAAATCTAAGACCTCGAATTAAAAAACTACTGCAAGAAAACATTGGGGAAAGTCTCTCCAGGTCTTGGCAAAAATGTCTTGAGTAATACCCCACAAGCACAGGCAACCAAAGCAAATATGGACAAATGAAGTTACATCAAGTTAAAAATCTTCTGCATGTCAAAGGAAATGATCAATAAAGTGAGGAGACAACCCACAGAATAGGAGAACATATTTGCAAACTATTCACCTGACAAAAGATTAATAACTAGAACAGATAAGCAGCTCAAACTACTGTATAGGAAAAAAATCTAGTAATCTGATCTTTAAAATGGGCAAAATATTTCAATAAACATTTCTTAAAAGAAGGCATATGAATTGCAAGCAGTTATATTATCAGAAACATGCAAATCAAAACTACAATGAGATATCATCTTATCCCAGTTAAAATGAATTTTGTCCAAAAGTCAGGCAACAGCAAATGCTAGTGAGAATGTGGAGAAATGGGAAGCCTGGTACACTGTTGGTGGAAATGTAAATTAGTACAACCACTATGGAAAACAGCTTGGAGGTTCCTCATAAAACTAAACTAGAGCTTCCATATAATCCAGCAATTTCACTGCTAAGTATATACTCACAAGAAAGGAACTCAGTATGTTGAAGAGATGTCTACATTCCCATGTTTGTTGCAGCATTGTTGAAAATAGCCAAGATTTGGAAGCAACGTAAGTGTCAATCAACAGATGAATGGATAAAGAAAATGTAGTATGTATACACAGTGGAGCCAGAAAAAAAGAATGAGATTCTGTCATTTTTAACAACATGGATGAGGGTTATTATGTTAAATGAAATAAGCCAGGCACAGAAAGACAAACTTTGCATGTTCTCATTTATTTATGGGCGCTAAGGATCCCATTGAGTTGAATTCAACGGAGATAGAGAGTAGAAGGATGGTTACCAGAGGCTGAGAAGCATAGTAGGGGGGCAGTTTGGTAGGGCCATGGAGGGAAGTGAGGATGGCTAATGGGTACAAGAAATAGTTAAAAAGAATGAATAAGAGGTAGAGGTACTATTTGATTGCACAACAGGGTATTTGTGCTGATAGCACAACAGTAGTATTTGTACTGATAACACAGTTTGTACTGGTAGCACAACAGTAGTACTTGATACCACAACACTGCAATTGTCAATAATTGACAATTATTATAATCAATAATAATTTAGTTGTACCTTTTAAAATAACTGAAATCATATAATTCAATTTTTGTAATACAGAGTAAATGCTTGAGGAGATGGATACCCCATTTACCATGCTGTGATTGTTACATGTTGCATGCCTGTATCAAAGTATCTCATATACCCCATTTATACACACAACTACTGTATACCCACAAAAAATAAAAATAAATGTGATATAATAATCAGGTATGGTTTTGCTGGGGTATATATTACATTGTTGTATTTTGCCTAGTCTGTAGGATTAGGGGGAATAGCTGTGGTAAATTCCCACAGAGGCAGTTGCAAAACTCCCTACACTTCTCTCTCCCATTTGCACTTTAGTTTGTTAAAATCTGCTAAAGCTGTTTCTAATTCACTACTTTGTAGCACTCTTTGGCTTTGTTTTGGAGGACTAGTAAATCAGTTAGCTGATATTGGTTTGAAAACCCTGAATCATAGGTCTTAAGCATTATTTGGAATTCCTTGGCAAACCTAAGGTGTCTTGAGTCAGATCAGGAAATCCAAACATCAGAGCACTTAATTCTGACTTGGTGTAAGGTGTATATCTTATGTTTGAACCCACTCTTCCTGTGGGTTTTGTTTTAAAAGAAATGACTACTATTTTATCTTCTCCTGTAGCTATTTCTGGACCCTTTGTGGTTTAAGAAGGAATACAGGGAGGAGAAAGAGAAAAAAAATGAAATCATCCAGGCAAGGAAGTTTAGAAAGCAGAGGTTTAGGAGAAGAAAAAGAAGAGACAGTTTCTGGCAGCTTCCTGATTTTAGAAGCTGATTTTGCTACTTTTCTTTAATTCTGAGGTAGTTTCAAATATTTTGTTGTTACCTTTCTGGAAAGAAATAAGTTTATCATTTCTACTTTTGGATGTTTTTAGGTGCCAGCTAAAATACAACCCTCATTTATTTTCCTTGATGCAGAAACCTAACTTCTCTAATTTAGCATACGAGAAGACCAGTTTGGGAATATTTAAAGTTCTTCACTTTGGGAACCTTAGATGTTGGTCGTCCTTAGTAAAATCCTCCCTTTACATAAATGTTTGTAAGAAGAGGTGCTATAATTATCACACATAAAACCAGCTGGGGTGCCCAAAGGGGGACACTCTCCTTGCCTGTCCTCGATTTTAGAGATATGTTTTCTCATTTTTCTTTAAAAGGAGTAGTTGAACTGTGGCTTGTCATTTGGTTAGAGGATCAGAGTGTGCCGATTGTGGATGAGACTCCATGGTGTCTATCACTGAGTCATTTCTGTCCTCTTGTATCTCCCAGTTTCTTTGTCTTGGTGTTTATCACCTCCAGGGAGATGCAAATCAAAACAATACCAGACATTACCTTATCTTAAGTAGAATGGCCATAATCGAAATGACAAAAGAGAACAAGTGTTAGCAAGGATGTGGAATAAAGGGAACTCTTATAAACTGTTGGTTTGAATACAAATTAATACAGCCACTATGAAAAACAAGTATGGAAGTTTCTCAACCTAAAATGGAACTACTGTATGTTCCAGCAATTCCACCACTGGGCATATAGCCAAAAGAAATAAAATCAGTATGTTAAAGAGATAGCTACACTCCCATGTTTATTACAGCACTATTGACAATGGCCAAGATATGGAATCAATCACAGTGCCCATCGAAGAATAAATGGATAAGACAACATGGTATGTAAACATAATGAAATGCTATTTGGCCACAAATATATGGCATAATAAAATAAATGGCAGAATAAAATTCTGCCATTTAAGACAACATAGATGAACCTGAAGGACATTATGTTAAGTGAAATAAGCCAGACATAGAGAGACAAATAAGACAGGAATTTATTAAATGTGGAATCTAAACAAGCTTATCTCTTAGAAGTAGAGAGGAGAATGGTGGTTACCAGAGCCTGCGGTGGTGGAGGACAGGATGGAAAGATGTTGGTCAAAGGAAACATAATTATTATTAGATAGAAGAAATATATTTTACAAGATCTGCTATGCAGCACGGCAGCCATACTTAATTATGATATATTGCAGTCCTGAAAAATGAAAAGGTAGTTGATGTTAACTGTTTTCACCACAAAAAACAATAACTTTTAGATCATGCATTTGTTAATTAGCTAGATTTAATCATTTTATAATCTATATGTAATTCAAAACATACATAATAAACTTACACAATGTTATTTTCAATTAAAAACAAATTTTAAAATTATGCTTAAAAATTTTTTTATTCAAGCTAGAATTTGAATATAGCTAAATATCTTCAATAAATAAGAAAAATTAAAATAATTTCAAAAATTAAAACTAAGAGATTTGCTTGCCAATAGGAGCCGCATAAGAGTGTACTCAAGAAGAAAATAACATTTTCCTGTATAAAGGTAAAATTAAAATGAAGGGGTGAGAGACAGACCTTGAGAATACAAAATCATAGTGGACATTGAACTGAGGAAAGCACACAGTTCTTGGCACCAAAAAATTAAAAGATATTGAGATATTATAAAAGTACAATTCACATGTTTTATTTAAATCAGAAAGAAAATTATGTGCTTTTTGTATAATTTAATTGATTACAAAGAAATAATTTTTAGAAAATTTTATCACCAACTTGTTAAAAATAGATGGCACTTCCATTGAAACTTTTGCAGAATATTGATGATTCTTTTATCAGATCTGATTAGCACCAGAGGACTGACAGTGGCATAGGCATTGACCACAAACTTGTGGACACCATAGGTGACAGGGCCAATTACCCATAACAGCATTGTGGATGATGAGAGGATGAAGTCCACTGAGTACATCAGCACAAAGGAATTCACCAGCATCAGGATGGTCTTGGTGGCCATTTTCACTAGAGAAGTCCTTAATATAAGGCTGCTGCTGTGAAAGTGCTGGGAGTGCCTCTGATGCCTGGACAAAAGAATGACCATGTATACACTTGAGAGCAGCGTGATTCCTATGAAGAAGGCATCTCTGGATAATGACAGCATAAGAAATAGCGTCCTGATGAGGACATTCATTGGGAAAAATGTGCAATATTTGCTGATATTCAAAATTATCTGGGTCATTGGAATAACCTACAGTGTAGATTATCATGTCACTACTGAAAGACAAATTGCTAAACCAAAAAACGAATAAGCCCAGGATATCGTATTTTGTAAATTTATGTTTAAATCTAACCAACCAGGAGGTGCTGAGGCTGATGGTAATGGCCTGGAGCATGCTCAGGAGGCAGGTGGTGCAGATGGAGAGGCCCCTCATCACCTTGTGCAAATAGAAGAAAGCTTTAGGCCGGGCGCGGTGGCTCACGCCTGTAATCCCAGCACTTTGGGAGGCCGAGGTGGGTGGATCACGAGGTCAGGAGATCGAGACCATCCTGGCTAACACGGTGAAACCCCGTCTCTACTAAAAAATACAAAAAAAATTAGCCGGGCGTGGTGGCAGGCGCCTGTAGTCCCAGCCACTTGGGAGGCTGAGGCAGGAGAATGGCGTGGGGCGTGAACCCGGGAGGTGGAGCTTGCAGTGAGCTGAGATCGCGCCACTGCACTCCAGCCTGGGCAACAGAGAGAGACTCTGTCTCCAAAAAAAAAAAAAAAAAGAAAGAAAGCTTTACATCTAAAGTTATTCTGAAAATTCAGTGACTCAAACATGTCTGGAGACAAAAACTCCATTGCAGTGAAGAGCATTACTAGGTGGACAAAGGCCAAATGACAGGTGACCAGGTCATGGGTCTTAGGCCTGTGATCCTGAAAGAATGTAAAAATGTGGAAGAGAAGATGGAAGATGTTGGCTGAGATTCTAATGCTAGCTTGACAATTAAAGGTATTTTTAAAAGATAACATAAGTGAAAACTGTGTTCATCCTAATGGCATAGAAGAAACCTATTTTGTAGATCTGAAAAAAAATGACTTCATATCATCAATGTTCTTTCTTCAGTGTTTGAAATTATTACCATCATTATTATTTTTATTTTACTCACTTATTCTTGATTAACCTTGATGCTAAATTCTTGATAATGTACCTCCTGCACTCTTTTCTAAGCCAAATAATTATATACATATATATATAATTATTACTCTCTATATATAATGAATACATTTACAATCATGCCTGTATAGGGTGCACACTATCTATATTCTTAATGCCCTTTGCCCTCCATCTTTAGAAATCAATTTTTGTTATTTTGTGTTCTCTCATTTTATTTTTAACACCCAATTCAGTGACAGGCATATAAAATGAATCACATTTGCAGAGTTGAATTGAATAAAATGTATGCTAAAGTGGAAAGACTCACTAAAGCAAACAATTAAAAATATATCCAATTGAGTCTTTCTCATGATCTATCACTTTGATACGGTTTATTCTTCACTCTTCCATGGTTTTTGATGCTTATGATTCTACTGGGCCCACCATGATAATTCATAATAGTCTTCCTATTTTTCATCAGCATATCAGCAATTTTGATCCCATTTGCAACCTTATATTCTCTTTGCCATGAATTGTAATATATTATTTCCAGTATCTAAGAACTTGGATGTAAATATCTTTTTTAGGGAGTGGGGAACATTATTCTGTTTATCCAAACCCTAATTAACTGTATGTCTCAGAAATGGTCCTGGTGCTTTCCCAGTTTAGTTCACATCCCAGAGACTTATCATGTGAACTCTCTTCATCTCAGAACAAAATTTTTAACATTTGCCTCTCAGTTATCAACAAGATAAACACTGCTTTTAGTCATTTTATTTCAACCAAGAGGTTGCATTAAAATAGTCACATGTGGTTCTTTTTCCTGAGACTTTACTTGATACAGGAATGTCAGTCTCCAATGAGAAAGATAATGCCTCTCAAGTTTTCTTGGGATATCCTCAATACCATAATACCTTGTAAAATTTTGCAGAACAATTTTGCAGTTGCCATTTCATGTTATTTGGCCAGGATTCAGGTATCATTGCATCATTTTGCTGTAATCCATGGGTAAAAAAAATTTAGCTTCATGCATGAAATATAAAAAACAGTAAATTAGCACAGATTTGGTGGGGGGATGAAGGTGTGTCTGGTTATATATTCAAAGTCATTTATCATTACACTGTCCCCTAAATAAAAATATGAAAGGCAATGCAAACATCTTGACACTTAGTATTCTTGTCTAATAAACACAAGTGACTGAGGTAAAAAATATTGCTCTAAAACCACCAGATATGTTTGATTTTATAAAGGAAATATCATCTAGGTGATTAAATGGTTATTACTCTCTCTACAAAACTTTAGTAAGTGAATCCATTTATCATAAATGTCAGAATCAAACAATGAAAAGTTCCCACCAACATGCATCTGCACCATCAGCATGGTTGAGTTCTGCTGTCAAGTTGAAATCAGAAAAAAAAAAAAAAAAAAAAAAAAACAAGGGGAGGCACCAAGATGGCCAAATAGGAACAGCTCTGGTCTACAGCTTCCAGCACTATCAACACAGAAGACAGATGATTTCTGCATTTCCAACTGAAGTACCTGGAACTGGTTGGACAGTGGGTGTAGCCCACGGAGAGGGTGAGCTGAAGCAGGGTGGGGCATCACCTCATCCAGGAAGTACAAGGGGTTGGGGGATTTCCCTTTCCTAGCCAAGGGAAGCCATGACAGATGGTACCTGGAAAATTGGGACACTTCCACACTAATACTGCACTTTTCCAACAGTCTTAGCAAATGGCACACCACGAGATTATATCCCACACCTGGCTCGGAGGATCACACACCCATGGAGCCTTGCTCACTGCTAGTGCAGCGGTCTGAGATCGAACTGGGAGGCAGCAGACAGGCTGGGGGAGGGGCATCCACCATTGCTGAGGCTTGACTAGGTAAACAAAGCCACTGGGAAGCTTGAACTGGGTGGAGCCCACCACAACTCAACGAGGACTGCCTGCCTCTGTAGACTCCACCTCTAGGGGCAGGGCATAGCTGAACAAAAGGCAGCAGAAACTTTCTACAGCAGAAGTTTCTACAGCCTTAAACTTCCCTGTCTGACAGCCCTGAAGAGAACAGTGGTTCCCACAGAATGGAGTTTAAGCTCTGAGAATGGACAGACTGCCTCCTCAAGTGTGTCCCTGACCCCCAAGTAGCCTAACTGAGAGACATCTCCCAGTAGGGGTCAACTGACACCTCATACAGCCAGGTGCCCCTCTGAGACAGAGCTTCCAGAGGAAGGATCAGGCAGCAACATTTGCTGTTCTGCAATATTTGCTGTTCTGAAGCCTCTGCCAGTGATACCCAGGCAAACAGGGTCTGGAGTGGACCTCCAGCAAACTCCAACAGACTTGCAGCTGAGGAATCTGTTAGAAGGAAAACTAACAAACAAAAGCAATAGCATCAACATCAACAAAAAGGACATCCACACCAAAACCCCATCTGTAGGTCACCATCATCAAAGACCAAAGGTAGATAAAATGACAAAGATGGAGAGAAACCAGAGCAGAGAAGCTGAAAAGTCTAAAAACCACTGCACCTCTTCTCCTCCAAAGTGTCACAGCTCCTCCACAGCAATGGAACAAAGCTGGATGGAGAATGACTTTGATGAGTTGACAGAAGTAGGCTTCAGAAGGTTGGTAATAACAAACTTCTCCAAGCTAAAGGAGGATGTTCGACCCCATTGCAAGGAAGCTAAAAACCTTGAAAAAAGATTAGATGAATGGCTAACTGGAATAAACGGCGTAGAGAAGACCTTAAATGACCAAATGGAGGTGAAAACAATGGCACAAGAACTACGTGACGCATGCACAAGCCGATTTGATCAAGTGGAAGAAAGGGGATCAGTGATTGAAGGTCAAATGAATGAAATGAAGTGAGAAGAGATGTTTAGAGAAAAAAGAGTAAAAAGAAATGGACAAAGCCTCCAAGAAATATGGGGCTATGTGAAAAGACCAAATCTACTTGTGATTGCTGTACCTGAAATTGATGGGGAGAATGGAACTAAGTTGGAAAACACTCTTCAGAATATTATCCAGGAAAACTTCCACAACTTAGCAAGGCAGGCCAACATTCAAATTCGGGAAATACAGAGAACACCACAAAGATACTCTATGAGACGAGCAACCCTGAGACACAGAATTATCAGATTCACCAAGGTTGAAATGAAGGAAAAAAGGTTAAGGACAGCCAGAGGGAAAGGTCGGGTTACCCACAAAGGGAAGCCCATCAGACTAACAGCGGATCTCTCAGCAGAAACTCTACAAGCCAGAAGAGAGTGGGGGCCAATATTCAACATTCTTAATGAAAAGAATTTTCAATACAGAACTTCATATCCAGTCAAACTAAGCTTCATAAGTAAAGGAGAAAGAAAATCCTTTATAGACAAGCAAATGCTGAGAGATTTTGTCACCACCAGGCCTGCCCTACAAGAGCTCCTGAAGGAAGCAGTAAACACAGAAAGAACAACCAGTACCAGCCACTACAAAAACATGCCAAATTGAAAAGACCATCGATGCTAGGAAGAAACTGCATCAACTAGTGGGCAAAATAACCAGCTAACATCACAATGACAGGATCAAATTCACACGTAACAATATTAACCTTAAATGTAAATGGGCTAAATGTTCCAATTAAAAGACACAGACTGGCAAATTGGATAAAGAGTCAAGACCCATCAGTGTGCTGTATTCAGGAGACCCATCTGACATGCAGAGACACATATAGGTTCAAAATAAAGGAATGGAGGAAGATCTACCAAGCAAATGGAAAACAAAAAAAAAACAAAAAAAACAGGGGTTGCAATCCTAGTCTCAGGAAAAACAGACTTTAAGCCAACAAAGATCAAAAGAGACATAGAAGGCCATTACATAATGGTAAACGGATCAATTCAACAAGAAGAGCTAACTATCCTAAATATATATGCACCCAATACAGGAGCACACAGATTCACAAAGCCAATCCTTAGAGATGTACAAAGAGACTTAGACTCCCACACAATAATAATGGGTGACTTTAACACCCCATTGTCAACATTAGACAGATCAACGAGACAGAAAGTTAACAAGGATATCCACGATTTGAACTCAGCTCTGCACCAAGGGGACCTAACAGACATCTATAGAACTCTGTACCCCAAATCAACAGAATATACATTCTTCTCAGCAACCCATCTCACTTATACTTAAATTAACCACATAGTTGGAAGTAAAGCACTACTCACCAAATGTAAAAGAACAGAAATCACAACAAACTGTCTCTCAGACAACAGTGCAATCAAATTAGAACTCAGGATTCAGAAACTCACTCAAAACTGCCCAACTACATGGAAACTGAACAACCTGCTCCTGAATGACTACTGGGTACATAATGAAATGAAGGCAGAAATAAAGATGTTCTTTGAAACCAAAGAGAACAAAGACACAACATACCAGAATCTCTGGGACACATATAGAGCAGTGTGTAGAGGGAAATTTATAGCACTAAATGCCCACAAGAGAGATCAGGAAAGATCTAAAATGGATACCCTAACATCAAAATTAAAAGAACTAGAGAAAGAAGAGCAAACACATTCAAAAGCTAGCAGAAGGCAAGAAATAACTAAAATCAGAGCAGAACTGAAGGAAATAGAGACACAAAAAGCCTTCAAAAAATCAATGAATCCAGGAGCTGGTTTCTTGCAAAGATCAACAAAATAGAGAGACCACTAGCAACACTAATAAAGAAGGAAAGAGAGAAGAATCAAATAAACACAATAAAAAATGATAAAGGGGATATCACCACCGATCCCACAGAAATACAAACTACCATCAGAGAATACTATAAACACCTCTATGCAATAAACTAGAAAATCTAGAAGAAACGGATAATTCCTCGACACATACACCCTCACAAGACTAAACAAGGAAGAACTTGAATCCTTGAATAGACCAATAACAGGCTCTGAAATTGAGGCAATAATTAATAGCCTACCAACCAAAAAATGTCCAGGACCAGATGGATTCACAGCCGAATTTTACCAGAGGTACAAAGAGGAGCTGGTACCATTCCTTCTGAAACTATTCCAATCAATAGAAAAAGAGGGAATCCTCCCTAACTCATTTTATGAGGCCAGCATCATCCTGATACCAAAGCCTGACAGAGACACAACAAAAAAAGAGAAATTTAGACCAATATCCCCGATGAACATCGATGCAAAAATCCTCAATAAAATACTGGCAAACCAAATCCAGCATCACATCAAAAAGCTTATCCACCAAGATCAAGTTGGCTTCATCCCTGGGATGCAAGGCTGGTTCAGCGTATGCAAATCAACACACATAATCCAATATATATACAGAACCAATGAAAAAAACCACGTGATTATCTCAATAGATGCAGGAAAGGCTTTTGACAAAATTCAACAACGTTTCATGCTAAAAACTCTCAATAAATTAGTTATTGATGGGACGTATCTCAAAATAATAAGAGCTATCTATGACAAACCCACAGCCAATATCATACTGAATGGACAAAAACTGGAAGCATTCCCTTTGAAAACTGGCACAAGACAGGGATGCCCTCTCTCACCACTCTTATTCAACATAGTGTTGCAAGTTCTGGCCAGGGCAATCAGGCAGGAGAAAGAAATAAAGGGCATTCAATTAGGAAAAGAGGAAGTCAAATTGTCCCTGTTTGTAGATGACATGACTGTATATCTAGAAAACCCCATCGTCTCAGCCCAAAATCTCCTTAAACTGATAAGCAACTTCAGCAACGTCTCAGGATACAAAATCAATGTGCAAAAATCACAAGCATTCTTATACACCAATAACAGACAAACAGCGAGCCAAATCATGAGTGAACTCCCATTCACAATTGCTTCAAAGAAAATAAAATACCTAGGAATCCAACTTACAAGGGACGTGAAGGACCTCTTCAAGGAGAACTATGAACTACTGCTCAATGAAATAAAAGAGGATACAAACAAATGGAAGAACATTCCATGCTCATGGGTAGGAAGAATCAATATCGTGAAAATGGCCATACTGCCCAAGGTAATTTATAGATTCAATGCCATCCCCATCAAGCTACCAATGACTTTCTTCACAGAATTGGAAAAAACTACTTTAAAGTTCAAATGGAACCAAAGAAAAGCCTGCGTTGCCAAGTCAATCTTAAGCCAAAAGAACAAAGATGGAAGCATTACGCTACCTGACTTCAAACTATATTACAAGGCTACAGTAACCAAAACAGCATGATACTGGTACCAAAACAGAGATATAATCCAATGGAACAGAACAGAGCCCTCAGAATTAATGCCGCATATCTACAACCATCTGATCTTTGACAAACCTGACAAAAACAAGCAATGGAGAAAGGATTCCCTATTTAATAAATGGTGCTGGGAAAACTGGCTAGCCATATGTAGAAAGCTGAAACTGGATCCCTTCCTTACACCTTATACAAAAATTAATTCAAGATGGATTAAAGACTTACATGTTAGACCTAAAACCATAAAAACCCTAGAAGAAAACCTAGGCAATACCATTCAGGACCTAGGCGTGGGCAAGGACTTCATGTCTAAAACACCAAAAGGAATGGCAACAAAAGCCAAAATTGACAAATGGGATCTAATTAAACTAAAGAACTTCTGCACAGCAAAAGAAACCACCATCAGAGTGAACAAGCAACCTACAGAATGGGAGAAAATTTTTGCAACCTACTCATCTGACAAAAGGCTAATATCCAGAATCTACAATGAACTCAAACAAATTTACAAGAAAAAACAAACAACCCCATCAACAAGTGGGCGAAGGACATGAACAGACACTTCTCAAAAGAAGACATTTATGCAGCCAAAAAACACATGAAAAAATGCTCATCATCACTGGCCATCAGAGAAATGCAAATCAAAACCACAATGAGACACCATCTCACACCAGTTAGAATGGTGATCATTAAAAAGTCAGGAAACAACAGGTGCTGGAGAGGATGTGGAGAAATGGGAACACTTTTACACTGTTGGTGGGACTGTAAACTAGTTCAACCACTGTGGAAGTCAGTATGGCCATTCCTCAGGGATCTAGAACTAGAAATACCATTTGACCCAGCCATCCCATTACTGGATATATACCCAAAGGATTATAAATCATGCTGCTATAAAGACACATGCACACGTATGTTAATTGTGGCACTATTCACAATAGCAAAGACTTGGAACCAACCCAAATGTCCAACAATGATAGACTGGATGAAGGAAATGTGGCACATATACACCATGGAATACTATGCAGCCATAAAAAATGATGAGTTCATGTCCTTTATAGGGACATGGATGAAGCTGGAAACCATCATTCTCAGCAAACTATCGTTAAGGACAAAAAACCAAACACCACATGTTCTCACTCATAGGTGGAAATTGAACAATGAGAACACATGGACACAGGAAGGGGAACATCACACACCGGGGACTGTTGTGGGGTGGGGGGAGGGGGGAGGGATAGCATTAGGAGATATACCTAATGCTAAATGACAAGTTAATGGGTGCAACACACCAACATGCCACAGGTATACATATGTAACAAACCTGCACGTTGTGCACATGTACCCTAAAACTTAAAGTATAATAATAATACATTTTAAAAAAGAGAATTTCTTTGTTAGTTTTCATCACAATGATTGATCTGTCTAAAGCTGTCAGTGGGATGTTCAAATCCAGCACTATTTTTTTTAAATTATACTTTAAATTTTAGGGTACATATGCACAACGTGCAGGTTAGTTACATATGTATACACGTGCCATGTTTGTGTGCTGCACCCAGTAACTCGCCCCCACTATTATTGTGTGGCTGTCTAAGTCTTTTTGCAGGTTTAGAAGTATTTGTTTTATGAATCAGAGTGCCCTAATGTTGGATGCCTATATTTTCAGGATTTTTATGTCTTCTTGTTGAACTAAATGCTTCATCATTATGTAATGCCCTTTATTTTTTTTTTACTGTTCTTGGTTTAAAGTCTGTTTTATATGACATAGCAATAGCAACCTCTGGTCTTTTTGTTTTTCATTTGTATGAGAGATCTTTCTCCAACCTTTTCCTTTCATCCCATGGATGGCATTACATATTAGATAGGTCTCTTGAAGACAGTATATGGTTGAGTCTTCCAACTTACCACCTGTCCCTCTTAAGTGGGGTGTTTGGACCATTTACATTCAAGGTTAATATCGATATGTGAGATTTGTATCTTGTCATTGTTTTGTTAGCTGGTTGTTTTGTAGATTCAACTGTGTAGTTGCTTTACATGGTCTTTGGGCTATGTATTTAAGTGTGTTTTATGTTAGCAGGTTTTATTTTTCATTTTCCTAAAGAACCTCTTGTAAGGCTAGTGTAATGGTAACAAATTCTCTTAGCATTTGCTTGCCGGGAAAGGATTTTATTTCTTCTTTGTTTATGAAGCTTAGTTTGGCAGGATATGAAATTATTGGTTGGAATTTATTTTCTTTAAGGATGCTGAAAATAGGCTCCTAAGATTTTAAGGATTGTAAGGTTTCTGCTGATAGGTCTACTGTTAGCCTAATAGAGTTCCCTTCGAAAGTGACCTGACCCTTTCCTCTAACTCCGTTAAGGCTTTTATTTTCATGTTGACCTTGGAGAATCTGATAACTGTGTCTTGGTGATTGTTGTCCTGTATAGTACTTCACAAAGGTACTCTAAATTTCTTGAATTGGCATGTTGGCCACTCTAATGTGATTGAGGATATTTTTGTGTGGATTATATTCCCAACAACTTTTCCAATTTTTTTTTTTAGATGGAGTCTCTCTCTGTCCCACAGGGTGGAGTTCAAAGGCACAATCTTGGCTCACTGCAACCTGCACCTCCCAGGTTCAAGCAATTATGCTGCCTCAGCCTCCCAAGTAGTTGGGACTACAGGCATGCACCACCACACCTGGCTAATTACGTATTTTTAGTAGAGACTGGGTTTCTACATGTTGGTCAGGCTGGTCTCGAACTCCCAACCTCAGGTGATCAGCCTGCCTCAGCCTCCCAAAGTGCTGGGGTTAGAGGCATGAGCCACCACGCCCAGCCTGTTTTAACTCTTTGATTATCTCAATCTTCCAATTCCCCCCAACCACCAGTGAATTATTTCTGCTAATTTTTTTTTTTTGTTTTTGAAAAGAGAATGATGGAAACCCACCCTGTTCCAGTGGGAGAGTACAGGGATTCCCTGGAAAGACTCTGGCTTGGAGCCCTCAGACCAGAGTTTAGGTCCAGGGGTCCACTTGGTGACTCAGGAGAAACCCTGGACCCCACCTCAAGGAATCTTGGATCCCCCGGTGGGGGTCTCAGAAGCAGGAGGCTGCTGGGCCACGGCAGGGACAAGGCTTTCTCTGGCACCCCCATGCAAGGTTCCTCCATAGAAAGAAATCATGTTGCCCGTTCCGCAGCAGGCATGCCATCCCAGGCCCCTGAGACCCCCAGGGGACATCCCCGCTCTGCCAACCGTGTGAATACACTCCACCTCCCGGCCTCTGCCATGTCACAGATGACTTGAGGCTTCAGATGAGTGACTCCCCAGAGTCACATGGGCCTATGCTTGGGTCCCAGCCTCTTCTATGACCCTTGAGGTGGTTCTCAGCATAGGAGGCTGATTTCTAGGCCTCTATGTGCTGTTCTGTGAATGGGACAGGTAACAGACCTCTATGGCAGGCATGAAATGCCAAGCTCCCACCACAAGGCCTGGCAACAAACTCTCAGGAAATTCAGGTCATTCTCTGGGAGTGGCCACAGATGCTTCTCAGAACCCCAATCCCTGGCACTGCTCCAGCCCATGCTGGACCCTTCATCATCCAGGTGTCCCAGGCCCACAAGTATCTGACATCTCAGGTGGCACTTGTGGCCCACTGTGTGACCCTAAGCATACCTCCATGTTCTCTGGGCTGAGTTTCTGAGCCGCCACAGCTCTGCAGAGCCCAGGCTGTGGGCTCCAGCCCCTGACCTCCAGCTTGACTTACTAAATGTAATCTCCAGGGCTAATTTTAATCCTGGGCAGGAATTGGACACATTCCCATGGCTAGGATGAGTCCCTGGAGGCTGGAGGTGACACCAACCCACAGGACCCAGTGCCAAGATAATCCCCCAAATGACCCCTATGCATGTGGTCTCATGAGAGCAGGGACTGGGGCTGATCTTGGGCCTGAGTCTCTTGAGCATAGAAGGCTCAACTAAGCCCTTTCTCAATCTGTCTCAATTTTAGTTATAGGGACACTATGGCTAGTGCAGAGGTCACGTGACAGGGAAACCCCGAGAGACAGGAAGTTGGGGGCCTTTCTGGACTGATGTCCTAGAGCTGAGACAGGAAGTGAATTCCATGCAGAAGAAACAGCAGGTACAAGGATCCCAAGGGGGAGAGAAACAGCAGTGAGGTTGGAGTGGGTGGGGAGGGCAAGAGGCCACAGAGGCTGGGCCACACTGGGCCTTCTGAGCTGCAGGAGGCTCTGGGTTTTAGTCTAAGAGCAAAGACGAGCTATGAGAGGGTTTTGAGGAGAGAAGGGATGGGGCTGATTTATCATTTTAACATGCAGCTCATGGCTACCATGGAAAGCAGGACTATCAGGGCTGGGGTGGAGATGGCAGGAGGCTGGAGATGAGGTCAGGGCTGTGTCCATCTGAGCAGAGCCTGGGGCGGTACCCTCTCTGTGCTGGTCTGTACCTCACACTGTAAGTCACTGGATCCCACGGCTTATTTGGCCCTCCAGAACATCAGGAGGTCCCCCACCAACTCTGGTGCGAGGTGACAGGTGCAGATGAGTTGATGCAGGGCTTAACTCTCCTGACCCCCCATGACACCGGAACTCTCCTGATCCCATCACCGAAGAACCAAGCTGTCCCCCACTCTGCCCCTGAGAGATCAAGCTCTAATCATGGCCTCCCTTGCTCACACATTCTCCATGGTTCCACATTGGCCTTGTGAGAAAATTTCTGCATCCAGCCTGACATTCAAACACCTTGCCCTAATCAGCTCCTGCCTACTTCTCTCTATCTTTGACAAATATTTCTGTCTAGAAGGTCCTTTTTTCCCTTCTTCACCTAGCCAACTCCTATTCACACTTCAGAACTCAGCTCAGGTCAGATGAGGTGGTTCATGCCTGCAATTCCAGCACTCTGAGAGGCCAAGACAGGAGGATTGCTTGAACCCAGGAGTTTGAGACCAGCCTGAACAACCTGATGTAACCCCATCTCTACAAAAAATACAAAAATTAGCTGTGTGTGGTGGCATGTGCCTGTAGTCCCACCCTGAAGTAGGAGGATCAATTGAGCATGGAAGGTCAAGGCTGCAGTGAGCAGTGATTGTGCCACTGCATTTCAGACTGAGCTACAGAGAAAAAAAAACTCAGCTCAAGAAAAAGCATTCCTCCAAGAAGCCCTCCCTGTTGTTCCTCTGGAATCCCACAGTCCCCATCCTTCCCCTGTAGTTCTGACCCCATGGGGCTGGCAGTAGATACATCCAACTTTGTCTCCCCTAGACTAGACAGCCCTCTAGATCAGGCCTAGGAGTGGACAGTAAAATTTAGAGAGTGCAACAGGTGAAGAGAGACGTGACTGACTCCCTCCTCTTTAGCTTCCCTTGACAACTTCCTCTCAGACTGCCCCAGCTGATATCCTGCCCAAAAACACACATGCTTGCAAATCCAGCCACTAACCATTGACCTGTCTTGGACTCAAGTGTGAAGAGTCAGCCAAGAATGCAGACCTGGAAGCCTAGGGTGTATGTGTGTGTATTTGTAGTCAAGTGAAAATCCCACCCAAGCTCCAGACAGACCCTGGTGGCCCATTCTGCAGATGTTGGTGAGGTTGGTATTTCTGTGGAGGTGTCAGCAAAGGTTGAATGTGCCAGGCATGAGGCAAAGGCCAAGGTTTAGGGGGACTTCTACACACACAACTTCCCCCTTGCCTCGTCCAGCCAGAAAGCAGAGAGCAGTGGCATCTGCCCAGCACAGAGGCAGATGGATGGATCCACTCACCCGAGGATAGAGCAGGGAAGACGGGACAGGAGAAATCCAAGAGGGCTTCTCAGGGGAGGAGGCATGTAGTTTGGCTTAGATACAGAGGCTAGACAGGGGCCTGAGCAGATGAGTAGGGGACTGGGCATTTGAAGCCAAGGGTCTTGCACCTCCCTACCCCTTTCTTTGCACCCTCATACTCGAGCATTTATTAGCAACTTGTGCTAACCACTGAGCTAAGCTGACCTCCAAGTAATTAGAAAGCTTAAGTAAACCAACATCTGTAGATGAGAAAGGTGACTGAGGACCTACTGTTACAAAGGCAAGGTAATTTGAGGCTGCAATGAGCTACGAGCAACTGTGTTCCAGCCTGGGAGACAGAATGTAAAAAAATAGTAATAACAGAAAGTATACATCAATCTCAATTTTTTTTAAAAAGGCAGATGGTTTTACAGTTGTTTTATCAAAACTCAAAGAACAGGAAAGCCCAAATTATTTCAACAAAGTCAGACCTTTTAAACAGATGATAGCTGCCCAAGTCATTTTTATGAAACTTCTTTATATCAAAACCTAAGTCTAAAAAGAGAAAAGTGTTGACCTTGATACGGGCTGTGTTAGGCAGAGATTTCAATGAAGTCCTCTCTGAAGAGGTGACATTTGATCTGAGACCTGAAGCACCAGAAAGAGGCAGCCAAGCCAGGAAGAGGCAGGAATGGGAAGGTCTAGGGAAAGACTGGTCCTGGCAGGCGGAACTGCAGTGGCAAAGGCCCAGCGGTGATCAGGAGCTTGGCATTTGCAAAAATAAAGAGTGTGTGTGACTGGACAGCGTGAGCAAGTGGGCAGAGGAGGAGATCGTGATAGGGTGTGCATTGGTCAGGCCACCTAGGTCCTGGAGCCCACAGTGAGAAGCATGGGCTTGACTCTGAGGGCAAAGGAGAGCCACGGATAGTTTGGGTAAAGGGGAAAGTTGGCATTTAATTTTATAGCTTTTTGAAGTTTGTTTTGTTTTCTTAGAAACAAGGTCTCAGTCTGTTACCCAAACTGGAGTGCAGCTCAAAATATTTTCCAATTTATCTTGTGATTTTTTTTGATCCAATGATTTAGAGGTGGGTTGTTAAATTTTCACATATTTTCAGATGTCCAATATTTCTTACTGTTGTTAGTTTCTAATTCTGTTTCAGTCAGATAACTTATTTGTTTTCCCTGTCTCTCCTGTCTTCTGATCCTGTTTTTCCATTGACTACCATTTTTAAAATCAACTTATTTCAGTGTGTCATTTACAATCCTATTTTAATTTTTTGCTCTTTCTCTGAAGTGGTTGTTCCAGGGATTATAATGTGCTTTTCCATTTTTCCAACGAATGAAGAACGAAGTGATCGACTTCTTGCCTCTGCCGGGGCTCTGAAGCGCTGCCCCGAGGCGGTGGATGGAGGGTGTCAGGCGTGACATCAAGAGCTCTGCAGCCAGGGCCTGGGACAACCTCCCGCTCCACCTCCCCGGAGCCTCGCAGCCAGCATCCCCAGCGGCCCGTGCGCCCCGGCCAAGCGGGACCTCAGCGCTGTGGCGGCCGCAGACCTCACCTGGGCAGGCCCCGGGCTGCATGCGGACCGCCGGGCGCCCAGGACTCTAGAGGCAACCAGCGGGCTGGATCCGCACAGCGGCCCTGGGAAATGGATGGTGTACAGGGGACAAAGCTACACACGTCTTTCATTTTGGAGGGGGGAAAAAAGAAAAAACGGAAATGAAAGATAGAAAATGTGTGGGCTCTCCGTCCTTTCCTTTGCTCCTGAGCGCTCTCTGGGGTGGGGGGCTCAGCGAGCTTCAAGAGGTGGCCGAGATTCCCCCACCTCGCCCCCAGATCCCCGGGAGAGGTCAGCACGGCCCCTCCCTTGGGTGTCACAGAGACCGATGCGGGTCCCGCTCCCCGGGAAGGAGTGGGTCTGGGTCCAGTCCGCAGGATCCCCTCGCGGATGCTGACGCTGAATGGAGTTGAGGTGGGGGCAGCGCTGGACCCCAGGGTCCCTGCCTGCCTCCTGGGGAGCCCGGTGACCCAGGCAGCCCTGGTGAGGCCGCAGGAGTCTGGGCCCTAGCGACGCACCCGGGCTCCCACAGGACGAATGTAGACGGTGAGGCCAAGGACGCCCTGCTGCCCTCGGGACTGTCCCTCCAGCCCCCAGCTTTCCGTGGCTATTGGGCCCCCTCTGCAGAGGGGCAGGGGAGCCCACCCTGGATCCTGAGGCGCCGAGCTTGAGGGACCCCAGAGCTCCAGCCAGGCCGCTTTCTTTGAGGATGGTGAAGCTGAGGTCCCGAGGAGGGCAGGGGCAGGTCCCGGGCGCTCCTCAGGCAAAGGGAGCCGATTTAGGGGCTGGGGTCACAGGAGGGGCTTCTGCGACCTCTAGGGCCCTAGAGCCCGGGAGGATGAGAGACTGGGGGCCTTTCGTCCACCCCTGGGGCTGGGCAGACGCTCAGCCTGTGCAACCCGAAGCTGCTTCTGCCCAGTCCCAGCCGCGGCCCCTTTAAGAGGGGGTGGTGCTTCAGCCTGGCGCCAGGGACGCTGCCAGCATGCAGGCCCCGACGGAAGCCGAGACTGCGCTTCGTGCGAGGCCCGGGCAGCATCGGCGGCGTGGTCAGAGCGAGTCTCGGAGAAGATGTGGTGGCTTCCGTTTGTTGGTGGAGGAGGTGGCAGGCCTCGGCGGTAAGTGGAGGGGGATGAACCCCACCTGGAACCCTCTGGGTCTCCCTACTCCTTCCCGGCCGCTCCCTGCTTTCGGGCCCTCACTTCTAAGTGGGCATCTGGGCCCGAGTCGTCAGCGTTGGGGCGGTTGTGGGATCCGGGCCTCGGCAGCGTCCACACCCCCGCCGGGAAGGCTATGCCCCTGTCCGACCCACGTCCAGCCTATAGGAGCGCCCTGGCCCAGAGCCGGCGGTGAAGCGCTGGACTGGGTCCCTCCGAGCCCCACGGGCCTCTGAGCTGGGGTCTAGGGTTATTTTTTATGCCTCAGGACCTTTAGAAAGAGACCTCGCTAGAGCAGGGGACATCTGTAGTTTCAATTCTTTGAGGAGTTTCCAGCTATTTAACTGTTTTCCATGGTGTGTACCCTAATTTTCATTTCCACCTACAGTGTATGAGTTCCCCTTTCTCCAAAACCAAACCCCCATTCCAATTTGTTTTTGTTTTTGTTATTTTGAGACGGAGTCTCGCTCTGTCTCCAAGGCTGGAGCGCAGTGGCGCCATCTCGGCTCACTGCAACCTCTACCTCCCGGTTTCAAGCAATTCTCCTGTGTAGCTGGGACTACAGGCGCCCGCCACCACGCCCGGGTAATTTTTGTATTTTTATTTTTAGTAGAGACGGGGTTTCACGATATTTGTCAGGCTGGTCTGAAACTCGTGACCTCAGGTGATCCACCCGCCTTGGCTTCCCAAAGTGCTGGGATTACAGACGTGAGCCACGGCTCCCAGACCCTCCTATTTTTAAAAAAATTTTCTAGGAATATTCAATAAGTGTGAGACTATCTGCGTGTGGTTTTGAATTACAGTATTCTAATGAATAGTTAATTTTGAGGACCTTATCTCTTATCTGTTGTTCGATTTTATATCTGTGCAGAATTGTCTCTTCAGGTTATTTGCGAAATATTAGATTGGATTCTTTTTCTACTTTGTACTCTTTTTTGTGTACACGTTAGTTGACAACTCCTCGTGAATTACATGATTGCCTGAAATTTTTGCATAATCTATGGGATGCTTTTTTATTTGGAAAGTAGTTTTCTTTGCTATGCAGAAACTTTTCACGTTGATGTAGTCCCATATTTTTTTTTTTTTGCGTTTTATGCGTGTCATAATGGTCACCCATATTAGAAAATATGCATCAGTAACAAAGCATTTAATTGTCAGTGAGGTTTTTCTTCCAGGGTGTTTGTTTCTTTTCCTCTTTGCAAAGGTTAACAGAGATTCAAGTGACCCAAAATATATGCTCAACCTGTGTTTTACTTAAGTAAACACAGTAATTTTTTAAAAAACATTTTGTGGTTTATGGTATTTTGTTTTGGCCTTCAGTTGATGGGGGGGGCGGTTGATTTTCATACATCGTGTAAAATAAGGGTCCTGTTTCTCGCTTTTGCATCCGGATATCATTTTTCTCAAAGCTATTCATTGATCAGACTCTGCCTTCCACGTTGTGGTGTTCTTTATCAAAGTCAGTTGACTGTGTCCATATTTGTGTTGTTTTTGTCCTCCCTGTTTTTGTCCATAGTTCTAGGTATTTCTTTTTATGCAAGTACCATATATCTACTGCATAACTAC
Source organism: Homo sapiens (assembly GCF_000001405.40). Lineage (NCBI taxonomy): Eukaryota > Metazoa > Chordata > Mammalia > Primates > Hominidae > Homo > Homo sapiens. The sequence continues at coordinate 10,341,010 of NC_000021.9, read as the reverse complement.
AACTTGGCAATTTAATTTGATATCAAGGATTATGGGTTCTCACTTTGATTGTATTTCTCAAGATTCCTTTAGATATTCATTGCTTTTGTGGTTCCCTGTGATTTTTAGCACTATGTATTTATTTCTGTTAATTTTTTTACAACATAAAGGGCCATAATTAGGGGTACATTTTTATACATATATATTGGGTAATGATCAAATCAGGGTACTTAGGATCTCTATTCCCTCATACAGGTATTATTTTTGTGTAAAGAGAACATTCAAAATTCTCCTTGCTCTTTAGAAAAATGTAATACGGTTAAGTCCAGTCACCAGGCTGAGGAGAACACTCAGATTTATTCTTTTAATGTTAAGATAACTTTGTTTCCATAACCAATCCTTCTCCATTCCCCTTCTGTCTCCCGGACTCTGGTAACCAATATTGTGCTTTCTACTTCTTTAAGATAAACATCTTAAGATTTCACATGAGTGGTATCATGCAGTGTTTGTCTTTCTAGGCCTAGCTCATCACATTTAACATAATGTTTTCCAGGTTCATCTGGGTTGCTCTAAATGACACTGTTTGATTATTCTGATAGCCGAAGAATATTCCCCAGTGTATGTATATGAGAGTTTCTTGATCTCTTTATCTGTGGGTGAACAGGTAGGTTGAATGTATAGCCAGTAGTGGGACTGCTAGATGGTATGGTATTTCCTTTTTTTTTTTCTATTGTTTGCAGGACCCCCAACTGTTTTTTATAGTGTTAATACCAATTTACATTTCCACAAACAGTCCCCCTTTCTGGAAATTCATACTAGGAATTTTCTTTTTAAATATTTTAATCTTTTTGTGATGTTCATTCTAGTTGGAGTGAGATAAGATCTGAGAGTGGTTTTGATCTACATTTTTCTCATGAGTAGTAATGTTAACCACGTTTTTATAAATGTTGAATCTGTTTTCTGTCTTCTTTGCACAAATATCTACTCAGGTTATTTGCCCAATTTTGGTCTGGTTATTTCTCTGTTGTTTTGTTTTTTTGCCAGCTGTTAGTGTTACTGGCTTGTGCCTTTTCAAAAGTAACCTGTTATCCACTGTATGTTTGCCCAAACTTTTCTTATAAGTTTTAGTATGCCTTTTCATTTTGTTCGTTCTTTCCTTTTTTGGGCACAAATTCTTCAGTTTGATGAGGTACCACATGTGTATAATTTCTTGGTTAGTGTGCTATTGTTTACTAATCAAGAAAAAACAAAATCAGTGCCAAAGCAGTCCATTGTCAGTGATTTTTCCCTTGTATTTTTGTTACTTTTTGCAAACTGTGAGCATACATCCAAGTTTCCCTAAATATACACACACTCGAGGTTGTGTTTATAAGAGCTTTATGGTTGCAAGTTTTGTGAATTATTTCTGTATTATTTAGTACCACACTTTTTGTATTATTTAGTACACTAAATATATTTTGTATTATTTAGTATAAATACAAAATAATACAAAATAAAAATATTTTTTATTATTTAGTACACACTATTTGTATTATTTAGTACCACACTTTTTGCAAACCGTGAGCATACATCCAAGCTTCCCTAAATATACACACACTCGAGGTTGTGTTTATAAGAGCTTTATGGTTGCAAGTTTTGTGAATAATCTTTAATCCTTTTGAGTTAAAGTGTTTTTTTTGGTACCACAAGAGTCCTGTATTATTTAGTACCACAAGAGTCCTGTATTATTCTTTTGCATATGGATATCTAGTTTTGGAAACCTTCCCCATTGTGTTGTTTTGGTGGTGTTTTGAAAAATGTGTTCACTCTGTGTAAATTTGTGTTTATTATTGAGCGCTCTCATTTTGCTCACTGGTCTGTGTTTCTCTGTGTATGCCAGTAACATATGGATTGGTTAACTAGGGATTTTCGTTTAATTCGAACTCAGGGAATGTGATGCAGCCCATATGGTTTGTATTTCTCAGGATTGCTTTAGAAATTCAGGGTGTTTCGTATTTCCACATAAATTTTGGCATTGTTTCTTTGTATTTCTTAAAACACTATTTGCCATACACTAAGTGTATATAAGTAGAGGGTACAAGGAAGATTTCGATACATGTATATGTTGAGTAATGAAAAAATCAAGTTATTTAGCATCTCTTCACCTCATAGTTACTACTTTTTGAGTGGTAACAACATTCAGAATCTTTCCTTCTAGCTACTTTGAAATATATGATACATTTGTATTAAGGCTAGTCACCCTGCTGTAGAATAGAAGACCAGAATTGATTACTGTCATCTAAGAGTAACTTTGTACCCATTACTGATTCCTTCCCCGACCCTCTCCACCTCCCCAGCAGCCTCTGGTAATCCCTATTGAACTTTCTACTTCTAGGAGATAAAGCTTTTTTCAGTCTACATGTCTGAGATCACGTGGCATGGGACTTTCTCTGCCAGGCTCATTTGTTGGACCTGATGTTCTCCAGGTTTCTTCATGTGGCTGCAGATGGCAGGATTTCCCAAAGCTTTATGGCTGAAACATATTCCGTGGTGTATCTGTATGGCAGTTTCTTCATCCCTGAAGCTGTGTACGGACAGGTAGGTTGGTTTTGTACCTTGGCCACAGTTAGGGGTGCTTTAGTACCCATGGGAAGGCAGGTAACTCTCTTCAACCTAGGGATTTCAAGTGCTTTAATTGTGGAACCAGTGATGGGGCTTCTAGCTGACATGGTAGTTGTACTGTGAATTTTTTCAGGAACCTCTAGCTGTTTTTCATAGTGTGTATACTAATTTACATCCCCACCAATAGCATTTAAGAGGTTTCTCTTCTGTAAGTCTACACTGGCTGTCACCTTTAAAAATTTGTGTTTTGTTTGTCTTTGGTAGTATTCATTCTGAGTGGAATGAGATGGACTCTTAGTGTGGTTTTTGTGGACATTTTTGTGAGGATTGGTGATGTCGAGAAAGTTATTTGAGAAATCCCCACATCGTTTTCCATGGTGTCTGAACTAGTTTGCATTTCTACCAACAGCAGACCAGCATCCTCTCCTCCTCTGCCTCGCTGGCATTCATTCTTGTGGACTGTGTCATAATTGTCATTCCGACCAGTGTGAAATACTATCTCATGGGCCTTTTGCTTTGCATTTCTCTGATGATTACTGAGGTAGAGAAATGTCCTGTCCGTTGGTTGCTATAAACCTTCCTTTGAGATGTGTGTTTTCATGCCCTTTGCCCTTTCTTCACTGAGTTTTTGTTTTGCTGATTTATTTGCTTAACATTTTTGAGGTAGATCCTGGAAATCAGACTTCATGAGATGCATATGTGGGGACATTTTCTCCCATTGTGTAGGCTTTCTGTTTACTCTGTTGGTAATTTCTTCTGCTGTTCAGCAGCTCTTTTATATATTAGGTCCCACTTGTCAATAATTGTTTTAGTTGCACTTGCTTTTGGGGACTTAGGCATATCCATGCTGTGCCAAATCCTCTGTCAGGAAGTGTATTTCCTAGGTTCCCTTGCAGGCTTTTAATAGTTTGAGGTCTTGCATTTACAGCTTTCATTCATCTTGCGTTAATTTCTGTACATGGTGAGACACAGGGGCCCACTGTTTTTCTTCTGCAACTGGCTAGCCGTTTTATCCCAGCACCATCTATTGAGAGGAGGGAGTTCTTTCTCCAAAGCTTGTTTGTGTGGTTTTTGTTGAAGATGAAGAAATAGTGTCAACCTGGTGTTTGATGTCCAATGTTCACCAGGCTCCAGGTGGACACCTCTAGAAGTAGATCTTTACAGATGAGAACCTGGAACTGGTTTGCTGACCCGTTTTAGTCGGAATGAATTCCTGACCTTCTTGTCAGGAGGAGACAGAAACCTGATCATCTGTAGTGTACGGTGGTATCGTGATTACTTAAATCATCAAATGTGGTTATTGGGAATGATGTGTTTTTTCAAGTGGTATATGAGAGGTAAAATTGCTATTGTAGTTGACTGTTGCAGTTATAATTTTGTCAACATGGTCTGTAAGAGTGCAATGGAGTCGGCCCGGCGTGGTGGCTCACGCCTGTAATCCCAGTACTTTGGGAGGCCAAGGCGGGCCGATCATGAGGTCAGGAGATCGAGACCATCCTGGCTAACACAGTGAGACCCCGTCTCTACTAAAAATACAAAAAATTAGCCGCGCGTGGCGGCACACGCCTGTAATCCCAGCTACTTGGGAGGCTGAGGCAGGAGAATGGCGTGAACCTAGGAGGCAGAGCTTGCAGTGAGCCGAGACTGCACCACTGCACTCCAGCCTGGGCGACAGAGCAAGACTCCATCTCAAAAAAAAAAAAAAAAGAGTGCAATGGAAAGCTGGTAGAAAATGGACATTGTTTAAAGACCAAAACAACCACACTACTTTGCTAATCCCTATCAGCTAAAGCCTAGAGAATATATGAGGCATAGATTTACATGGTGTTTGACTAAGGCATGCAGAATATAATCTTGACATAGGCTAAGTTTATCAACATGGATACATAGAGATTCTGAAGTTAAAGTCTTAGCCCAAGAAGTTAGAAGGGGTGCTCAAGTTTGTCTGACAGAAACTGTGAATCCACACTGGCCTGCTTATTTTGAGGTTGTGTTGCCAGAGCTTTCCTAGCATAATAAAGAGAGGTGCATACAAAGGAATAGGAATAGTAGGAGGTGGGGGTAAAAATATCAGGTGTGATCCACATGCCAAGCCGACCCCCACTGTGTCCCACAGGAAGCCCCAGAAGATGTTTCTCTAAGAAATTAAGGATTCGTTTGTTGGGGAGGGCTGCTGGCATGTTTGAAAAGTACTGTGACGGCTGAATTTTGTGGGCTTGGGGAGATTGTGGGTTCTCTGATTTCAAGGGGAATGATGTGATCCTAGAACAAGTGACAGTGGAGGCGCTTATGCTTTGTGATTGCACTAGAGACAAGGAAGACACAACTAGAATAATGGGGAGCAGGAATGGAGCGGCCAACAGAATATCTGACTGCTAGGGATCTTTGATGAAGGCTGATTCTTAGGGAGTGAACTAGATCAGTGACCAACTATTTGTCTTTATATAACTGGGTAATGTGGATGGATTCTAATAAAGGGACTACTTACAGCACAGCAGGAAAGACACAAAGAAACCAGACAGAAGAGTGTAAGTAGTAAGGGGCCAAGCAGTCACCTGACTAGAGAGAGTGCCAGCTTGCCAAGAAGGCACCAGACAGAAGCTGTGATCTTCAGCAAAGGGACACAGTCTGCCTGTGCTGACCCTGCAGGGGCAGAGGTGGGGGATAAACACACTCTTCTCTCACCTATCTTCTGCCACCCCCTCCATTAGCTGAACCCCAATAAAAGCATGAGGGTAAGGGAGATCTCTGCAGTATCCAATTCAGGTGAGCCTCCTAAGGAACAAAGCAGAACGTAGAAAAATTAAGAATGGGTCTAGGGAATAAAATAGAGATATGCACCGGAGTATGATGATGTGTCTGGGAAAGAATATACAAATACTTTTAAAATTACTAGACAATAAACCTGAGATGACACTAATACAGGTAAATCTCATTTAATGGTAATATATTCCAAGAAATGCATCATTACGTGATTTTGTGGCTGTGCAGACACCATAGAATGTAGTTTATACAAACCTAGACAGTGTAGCCTACAACATACCTAGGCTATATCGTACAGCCTATTGCTCCTGGGCTACACACCTGTGCAGCACGTCACTGTGCTGAATACAGTAGGCCAGTAGTCCCCAACACCCAAGCCATGGACCAGCACCGGTTCGTGTCCTGTTAGGAACTGGGCACAAAGCAGGAGATGAGTGGCTGGCCAGCTGAGCATTACTTCCTGAGCTCCACCTCCTGTCAGATCAGCAGCAGCATTAGACCTTCACAGGAGCGCAAACCCTATTGTGAACTGCACATACAAGGGATCTAGGTTGTGTGCTCCTTATAAGAATCTAACTAGGCTGGGTGCTGTGGCTCATGCCTGTAATCCCAACACTCTGGGAGGCCGAGGCAGGTGGATCACAAGGTCAAGACACTGCTGGCCAACATGGAAACCCCGTCTCTACTAAGAATACAAAAATTAGCTGGGTGTGGTGGCGCATGCCTGTAGTCCCAGCTACTCGGGGGGCTGAGGCAGGAGAATCACTTGAACCCAGGAGGCAGAGGTTGCAGTGAGCCGAGATTGTGCCACTGCACTCCAGCCTGGCGACAGTGGGAGACTCAGTCTAAAAAAAAAAAAAAAGAAAAAATAGAATCTAATGCCTGATGATCTGATGATCTGAAGTGGAACAGTTTCAGCCCAAAGCCATCCCCACTCCGCGGAAAAATTATCTTTCACAAAACCAGTCCTTGGTGTCAAAACTTTGGGGACCACTGCTGTAGGCAGTTATATCACAATAGTAATATCTAAACATGGAAAAGATACAGTAAAAACATAGTACATTGGGAGACCGAGGCAGGCGGATCACCTGAGGTCAGAAGTTCGAGACCAGCCTGACCAACATGGAGAAACTCCATCTGTACTAAAAATACAAAATTAGCTGGGTGTGCTGGCATGGGCCTGTAATCCCAGCTACTCATTAGGCTGAGGCAGGAGAATCACTTGAACCCCAGAGGCAGAGGTTGCAGTGAGCCAAGATCGTGCCATTGCACTCCAGCCTGGGCAACAAAATAAAACTCCTTCTCAAAAAAAAAGAAAGAAAAAAAAATATATATATATATATTACAAAAGTTAAAGAGAGTGGTACACCAGTATAGGACACCTAGCATGAACAGAGGTTGCAGGACTGGCAGTTGCTCTGATGAGTCAGTGAGTACTTGGTGAGTGAATGCAAAGGCCTAGGATATTACTGTACATAACTATAGACTTTATATGCACTGTACACTTAGGCTACACTAAATGTATTTGAAATTTTTCTTTCTTTAACAAGTTCATCTTAGCTTATCGTAACTTCATAAACTTTTAATTTTTTTAACTTTTTGATTCTTATAATAACACATCTTAAAACAAAAACACATTGAACAGCTGTACAGAAATACTTTATATCCTTATTCGATAAGCTTTATTTATTTTTATTTTTTATGTTTTAAACTTTTTTGTTAAAAACTAAGATACAAACACACACACTAGCTTAGCCCTGTAAGGGTCAGGATAATCAATATCACTGTCTTCCATCTCCAAATCTTGTCCCAGTGAAAGGTCTTCAGGGTCTTCAAGGGCAATAACATATATGCAGCTGTCATCTTCTATGATAACAAGGCTTTCTTCTGGAAGAACTCCTGAAAGACCTTCCCGACGCTGTTTTATAGTTAATTATTTTTCATGAGTAGAAGTACTACACTCTAAAATATGAATAAAATGTATAGTATTGTAAATACTGTTGATCCTTGAACAGTGCAAGGGTTAGGGGACCAGCTCCTGTGCAGTTGAAAATCCATATATAACTCTGGGCTATCCCCAAACTTAACTACTAATAGCCTATTCTTAACTGCAAGCTTTGCTGATCAAATAAACAATTAATGCATAATTTGTTAATTATATACTGTATTCTTAAAGAAAGAGAAAAGAAAATTCTATTAAGAAAATCATAAGGAGGAGAAAATATGTTTACTATTCATTAAGTGAAAGTGGATCATCATAAAGGTCTTCGTCTGCATATTCATGTTGAGCAGCCTGAGGAAGAGAAGAGGAGAAGTTGATCCTGTTGTCTCAGGGGTGGGAGAAACAGAAGGAAATTTGCATATAAGTGAACTTGTGCATTTCAAATCCATGCTGTTCAAGGAGCAACTGTACATAAACTAGTCACATGGTCATTTATTATCATTAACAAGTATGACATATGGTACATAATTAGATGTGCTAACCTTTAATGCCACTGACAAATGTAGTGGGTTTGCTTATACCAGCCTCACTGCAAACACATGAGTAATGCGTTGTGCTATGATGTCATCATGGCCACAGTGTTACTAGATGGTAAGAATTTTTCAGCTCTGTTATCTTAAGCGACCACCATTGTATGCAGTGTAGCATTTACCAAAAAACCATTATGCCACACAGGACCATATTTGGGGCTTTTAGTGTCCCCTGTCCCCAAGATCCTTCTATTCAAAATGTGAGCTCATGCATGGTTTAAAATTTGTGATGGTGTGCAGTGGACACATGGTGGATTGACATATTTTTTTCTTTACTTTTGAATAGTTGGATTTTTTTTTTCAAGACAGAGTCTCACTCTGTCACCCAGGCTGGAGTGCAGTGGCGCGATCTCAGCTCACTGCAAGCTCGCAAGCTCTACCTTCTGGGTTCACGCCATTCTCCTGCCTCAGCCTCCTGAGTAGCTGGGACTACAGGTGCCCACCACCAGGCCCAGCTAATTTTTTTGTATTTTTAGGCGAGACTGGATTTCACTGTATTAGCCACGATGTTCTTGATCTCCTGACCTCCTGATCCGCCCACCTTGGCCTTCCAAAGTGCTGGGATTACAGGTGTGAGCCACCAAGCCCAGCCGAAGATGACTTCTTAAAATAGACACGAAGTATGAAAATACTTGTAGCCCAAGTAAATTCTTATTAGAGGGAATCCACTGAAGAGGAGTAATCGTATGCATACAATGACATGTTATATAATAGATGTTAGTCAGCTGATACTTGTTCAATGGGCTCATGAACAGATGCACATAATATTAAGGATAGAAGGTATTCACGACTTTACATAATCAAATTGTATCTGGACCAATGTAGAACAACTAAGGCTAATATGACAGCCTTCCCTCAGGGGCTACCCAGTCAACTTGCAGATTGATGACATTGAAACCCATCCCTCAGGGATTTTGTTCTCACTGAAATAGACACTTATTCTGGGTACGAACTCACCTTTTACATTTGCAATTTTTCTGCTGGTACTACCATGAGTGAACTTAAATAATTTGTTATTCACCATCATGATATCCCATACAACATTGTTTTTGACTAAGGAATTCATTTCACTGCAAAAAAAATATGGTATTAGGCTCATGTTTGTGCAATTCATTGGATTTACAACATAATCCCTATCACCTAGAAGAATCTGACATGATGGAATGGAATCATGTAACTCAGTTAATGCTCCCAGCTGGTAAACAACACATAGTGAGGTTGGGATGTTGTCCTACAGTGTGTGGTATAAACTTAGAGTCAGTGACCACCGTGTAGTGTTATTTATCTTACAACAAAAACACATGAATCTGAAAGTCAAGGGGAGGGGGCTCCCTGCACTATTATGCCTAATTTGCACTTGCAGACTTTTTCTTCCCTTTTGTGAAACTTTGGGTTCTCCTCATTTAGAGATAATGATTCCCCAGGGAGGAAACTAACTTCTTTTTTTTTTTAATTTACAAAAGGTAGGCTATGATTATTAGAGTCATACACAGTTGACTGTCTCAGTGTGACTCAAGACCACAAAAAAACCATTTTTCCTTCACTTCTGAGTCCTGGGGTTAAGACCTAGACCAGCAAGCGTACTGCTTGGGGTCCCTTCACAGGTTTACAAGTTTTTCATTGAGGGCAATCTGTGACTGTGTGAGGTTGGCCAGTTAGGTCACCATCAACAGGTCATTGATGTTGCTGTGGAGCATGGTCTCGAAGTCATCGGGAACTATTTTTGGTACTTGGTTAACCAGGCTCATCAGGAAGTGGCCCACCTTCCTGATGGTATTGTCAGCTGACACCTTTCCAGATAGTATATCCTCTGCATATTGCAACACTATGCTCAGGGTATCCTGGATGCGAGCTGATGCCCCTCCTACTTGCTGCAAGTCACTTGAGAGTCCAACCACTCTGTTGGGGCTAAAGCAGGTCTTCATGATCAGGTCAACTCTGATGCATTCAGTGTCATAGAATGCGTATTTCACTGTCAGAGGTGTGAACACTCCCACGATCCTCCCAGGGACACCCATTAAAGTGCTGACATAGGCTTTGATGCTCATATGGCCGTTCTGGAGACTTGTGTCCACAGTGAGGTGGATGGGGTTGGGGGCCTCTCGGCTGTAGTACTCATGGATCAGCACAGAGTGCTCTGTGATGTCATGGCCTGCAGCGTACCACCCCAAGATGAGCTCATTTGGAGAAACTTTTTAGGCAGTTCATACATGTTCTTAGCAAATTCCATGTCAACAGCCACTTCATCTGACTCATTGTGTGACACTGAAAAGCAACTGGTGACCTCCACTGAGTGTTTGTTGACAGTTCCCAACAGGGTCCCGATAACTCGGGCAGCACCCTTGTTGCGTCTCTCGTAGCTGTCCACAGTGGAGGCCAAAATGACTGGGTGCAGCCTGACCACACGGCCACCAGGGAAGGGCCCTGGAAGAACAGGACCAGGCAGAGCGGTTGCTGGGGTCTGCGCTGGAGCTTGTGCTGAGGCCAGGGTCTGGCTTAAGATGACAGGTTTCATTAAGTGGAAGCTGAAATACCATTTGGGGATATTTAGTTCTTCTTGAAACTAACGGTAAAGAAAACAGCAGACCTATTAACAGGTAATTGATCTAGAGATAGCCAAGGTGAAATTGGGTTTCTCTATTCAGTAGGGGCAGGGAGGACTATGTGTGGAACACAGGAGTATCTCAGTCATTCCATGTGTGATAGTACATGAAAGAGATGAGCAGTTGTAGTGCTGTTCACTGTGCAAAAGTATCCCTTCTTCCTAACGTGGGAGGGCTGCTTTTGCAAATATGTCTGTGCTATTTCTCACTGGTCCTGCCTCTTCTGTTCTTGGAATCAAACTCAGTCCACGACAGATCCCACTACTAGCTGAATTTCTTTATTAGTCCTATCACAAATGAAATTTTGTATTAGCACCTCAGGGGATTTCTTTAATTTTGCAAAAGTATGTCATCCTAATTTATTATTTTTTTCCTAAGATCTGGCAATGAGCATCGGTTCTCTGCTTCCTATCTTACCCTGCTCACTCACAGCTGCTTCAGGTGACCTCCTTTTTAGGTTCAGAGTTATGGCTGACCTCGGCTTTAATCAAAACGAATGTATTTTGGTTTCTCATTTTGTTTATTGCTTCTGTCTTCAAATTAGAAATCCTAGAGCTCATCAGATTTACTTTTATGTTTATTTTTGAAAGAGCATCCTGCTCTGTCACCCAGGCTGCAATGCAGTGGTACAATGACTGCTCATTGCGGCCTTGACCTCCTGGGCTCAAGTGATTCTCCTGCCTCAGCCTCCCGAGTAGCTGGGATTACAGGCACCTGCCACCACACCTGGCTAATGTTTGTGTTTTTAGTAGAGACAGGGTTTCACCATGTTGGCCAGCTGGTCTCGAATTCCTGATCTCAGGTGATCTGCCCACCTTGACCTCCCAAAGTGCTGGAATTACAGGTGTGAGCCACCGTGCCCAGACGATTTTTATGACCATGAATGGGGACAGATTTCTTAAACAGATCACAATGAGCCATAGTTTTAAGGGAATAAGTTGATAAATTAGACTATATTCAAATTAAGAATTTCTGTTTATTAAGAGACACCACTAAGAAAGTGACAAGACAAGTTGCAGAGTGGAAACAGATCTATGAACACAGAACTGACAGAGGGCTCACATCAACAATATGTAAAGAGCTCTTAAAAATCACTAAGAGAAAGAACAATGGGTAAAACACTTAAACGTGTAATTTATAAAAGCAAAACTTGAATGTGTTCAGCTTTCTTAGTATTCATGTAAATGCAAATTAACATCACAACAGGATAACATATCCTCCAAAACGGCTAAAATGTAAAAGATAGAACACCAAGTGTTGGAGAGAATCTGGAGCAACAAGAACTCTCATCACTGCTGGAGGGGATACTGTGTTTGGCATTGAATAAAGGTTCTAGAAAGGAGCACATTTAGGACTCAGGTATTTCACTCTTAGGATAACAGAAACGCATGCACATCTGCATCAAAAGACATCTATGGAAATGTGTGTGGCATCATTCTCTGTCATTGGAAAAATATCTTGAAACAAAACCCAAATGTGACTTCTGTTTTCCAGCTTGGAAGCTGTCACTCCTGTCCTCACAACGACAACAAAAAACACCTTGAACAAACTGAAAATTACAACTTTTCTTAGATCCATCAGAGACTTGAGGTTAACAGGGAAAACCGTTATCCCCCAAATTGGAGAGGCAGTGAGTCCCAGCCTAACAGGATCGGAGGCTGGCCACTGGAGCCAGAACCACGGTGGGAAGACTTACATGTAAACAACAAATCGCTGGAGGCTCCATGCACATAAACTTGAGAATTAAGAATTAAGGGAGCCCAGTCTTAGGGGGCCCTACACTTTCATGAACCTCCAAGAGCTCTGCCAGACGCTCTTATGCACATCAGAGAAAAATTCCCTCCTGCTTCCCACAGGGAAGGGGAAAAGTAACTACTTTGAAATATGCCCTGGGTGTTCCGTTCTCCTTAGCAAAAGCCTGCCCCAGGGAAACCATTTCACAAGAGTCTAACCACCTTGGGCTTTAGCAGGGCCTAACACCTGTTAGAATAAGAATAAAAATTGCATCAAACTTTTCTTCAGAACCCATGCAAGCAAGCAAAAAAATTCCACCAAACTAAAATTCTGTATCCTGCAAAATTATCTTTCCAAAGTGAAGAAAAAGACTTTCTCAGAGAAACACAAATTTGCTGTCAGTAGATCTGTCAAAATGTTAAAAGAAGTTATCCAGAGAGAAGAAAATGATATAGGCTAAAAACTTGGATCTACATAAAGAAAAAAGGTTTTAGAGAAGGAAGAAAGGGGCTTCCTGCCTCCCTCCTCCATGGGGCACTGGTGCTATGCCCAGCACCCAGATGCCCCTACCCAATGCTGAATAAGAACACAGAGCACCATGAATGGCTGGCTCTAAAAGGAAAAGTGGAAGACTTGTGTTCTCAACCCACAGCTGCTACTGCTACATTTAAAGACACTGCAGTGAACATTGTAAGTTCTCTGGCTCATGGAGGGAGGAATCTATTCCAAAGACTCTGAGAAAAACTGTAAATTAAACAAAAATATGGTGAAAGCTGGTTCCTGAGCTTTATTGATGTTAATAATGCACCTTATTGGCCAGGCACAGTGGCTCATGACTGTGATCTCAGCACTTTGGGAGGCCAATGTGGGAGGATCACAAGGTCAGAAGATCGAGTCCAGCCAGGCCAACATGGTGAAACCCTGTCTCTACTAAAAATACAAAAATTAGCTGGGTGTGGTAGCACGTGCCTGTAATCCCAGTGACTCAGGAAGCTGAGGCAGGAGAATCGCTTGAACCCGGCAGGTGGAGGTTGCTGTGAGCTGAGATGGCACCACTCCACTACAGCCTCGTGACAAAGGAAGACTACCTCTCAAAAAACAAAAAACAAAAACAAAAAAACAAAAAACTGGTCACCTTTTCACCATATACAAAAATTAACTCAGGTTGGATTAAAGATTTAAATTTAAGACCTCAAACTAAAATAAACCTGGAAGAAAAACTTCAAAAGTACCATTCTGGATATGGGCTATGGGAAATAATTCATGACTAAGACTTCAAAAGAAATTGCAACAAAAGCAAAAGTTGACAAATGGGACCTAATTAAACTAAAGAGCTGCCACACAGCAAAGGAAACCATCAGCAGAGTAAACAACCTACAGAATGGGGGAAATTATTCACAAACTATGCATCCAACAAAGGTCTAATATTTAGAATCTATAAGGAACATAATTCAACAAGCAAAACACAACCCCATTTAAAAAGGGGCAAAAGACATAGACACTTCTCAGAAGGAGACATACATGCAGCCAACAAACATGAAAAAAATGCTCATCATCACTAATCACGAGGGAAATGCAAATCAAAACCACAATGAGATATTATCTCACACCAGTCAGAATGGCTATTTTTAAAAAGTAAAAAAAAAAAATAGCAGATACTGGCGAGGATAAGGAGAAAAGGGAATGCTTATACACCTTTGGTGGGAATGTAATTTAGTTCAGCCACTGTGGAAAGCAATTTGGAGATTTCTCAAAGAACATAAAACCGAACTAACATTCAACCCAGCAGTCTCATTACCGAATATGTATCCAAAAGAAAACAAATCATTCCACCAAAAAGACATATGCACTTGTATGTTTATTGCAACACTATTCACATTAGCAAAGACATGGGATCAACCTAGGTGCCCATCAACAGTGGACTATCAACAGTGGACTGGATAAAAATGTGGTACATATAGACCATGGAATACTATGCAGCCACAAAAAAGAATGAAATTATGTTCTTTGAGGGAAAATGGCTACAGCTGGAATCCAGGAAGTGAACTAATGTAGTAACAGAAAACAAACGCCTCATGTTCCTATAAGTAGGAGCTAAATTCTGAGTACCCATGGATATGAAGATGGTGAAAATAGACACTAGGGACTGCTAGGAGGGGGAGGGAGGAAGGAAAAGGTTGAAAAACTGCTGAATACCATGTTCAGTACCTGGGTGTTGGGATCATTCACACCCCAAACCTCAGCACCACACAATACACCCAGGTAATAAACCTGCACATGTAGACCCTGAATCTAACATAAAAGTTGAAAAAGAAAAAACAGAATGGAATCTCTGTTTATTCTCAACATATCAGTTGTGCCTTTCCTCAATTTGAAACTCTCACTATTGGCTATATTTGGGGGTGCCCTATTTCCCATCTCATAACTTATTTTAAGAAACACAGCATAATAATGTGTGGGTTTGGGATTCAGTTTTTGAAAAAAAACACTGAGCCTTCAATGAACTTCCGGTCCATGTAAAAGCACACCTGTCTGCATGGCAGCACTAGGACCTCACAATGTGGATTGTGCCTTCACCCAGGAATGTTTATGCCCTATCGCCATGGTGATGGGATTAGAAATCTCCTGCCCTTGGTCATAAGTGCCACTGTCTGGGCTGAGTTTTTCAAAGGTCAGAGCAGATTGAAATTTTGTGGGTTCATTTTCCCTGATTTTGATTTTTCTTAAGGGGAACCTGTGTTCCTCCAATCGAGGTATGTTCATACTGGCCTGTCAAATGCGATCTTTTCAAATTATTAGTTAATACTTTCAAAATTTGTTATTTAAAAAATTATCCTCTGTATTTTCCATATGCAGTTATAAATATGTTTCATGGTTATGTTTTATTCCTCAATATACATATTTGATTATTTTACCAAGCAGAGTACCTTTGAAATTTTTCTTCATTTAAAAAATATGGATCTTGGCTCAGGCCTGTAATCCCAGCAATTTCGGAGGCCAAAGCAAGAGGATCACAAGGTGAGGAGATCAAGACCATCCTGGCCAATACAGTGAAGCCCTGTCTCTACTAAAACTACAAAAAATTAGCCAGGCGTGGTGGCAGCTGGTGCAGTCCCAGTGTGGTGTAGTCCCAGCTACCTGGGAGGCTGAGGCAGGACAATCGCTGGAACCCGTGAGGTAAAGTTTGCAGTGAGCCAACATGGCGCCATTGCACTCCAGCCTGTGAAACAGAACAAAACTCTGTCTAAAAAAAAATTATATATATATAATAAATGACATATGTAATATATAATATATATCATATATAATATGTCCTAATATATGATATATATAATATATATGCTATGTCATTTACATATATTATATATAATATATATGACATAGAATATATATTATATGAAATATATAATTTATTGTATATAAAATGTTATATATATTATATATTATATATTATATATTATATATATGATAATATATAATATATATTACATATATGTCATTATATATATGATATATAATATGTGATATATAATATATATAATATATTTCATATGTAATATATTATATATGATATATATTATATATGATATAAATTACATATATGATATATATTATATATTGTGTATGATATATGATATGTAATATATATGACATATATAAAATATATATATTACATATATATTATAAGATATGTAATATATTATATTGTATTATATATCATAATATATATTATAATTATTATTTAATTTAATATTATTATATATTATATAATATTATATTCTATATAATATATATATTATATGTTTAATATAATATATAATAATATAATGTACTTATATTATGATATATTATATATCATATATATTATATACTATATATTATATATAATATAAACTATATGTTATATATAATATATAGTATATATTATATACTATATATTATATATATTATATATTATATATAATATAAACTATATGTATTATATATTATATAATATATAATGTATATAGTATATATTATATATTATTATATAATTATATATAATTGTATAAATATAATTATATATAATTATATAAATATAATTATATATAATTATACAATATATATAATTATATATTTTATATTATATTATATATAATATATATAATATCAGGATGCAGGATGTAAAAGGAAATATCTATAATATATATATTATATATATTTTATATTATATTATCTATAATTAAATATATATATATAAATATTTGGGGGTGTCCTATTTCGAATCTAATAACTTATTTTAAGAAGCACAGCATAATAATATGTGGGCTTGGGATTCAGTTTTTGAAACAGAACAATGAGCCTTCAATGACCTTCCTGTACATGTAAAAGCACAACTGTCTGCATGGCAGCAGTTGGACCTCACAATGTGGATTGTGCCTTCACCGTGGAATGTTTATACCCTATCGCCATGGTGATGGGATTAGGGATC